>NC_000021.9:11746733-12046733 GCF_000001405.40 Homo sapiens | reverse complement strand
TGGTAGGGGAAGATATTCCCTTTATCACCATGGGCCTCAAACCGTCCGAAACGTCCACTTCCATATACTACAAAAAGAGGGTTTCAAACCTGCTCTATGAAAGGCAATGTTCAACTCTGTGACTTGAATGCAGACATCACAGAGCAGTTTCTGAGAATACTTCTGTCTAGATTTTATAGGAAGATATTCCCGTTTCCAATGAAATCTTCACAGCTATCCAAATATCCACTTGCAGATTCTACAAAAAGAGTGTATCAAAAATGCTCTGTCAAAAGGAAGGTTCTTCTCTGTTAGTTGAGTACATACGTCATAAAGGAGTTTCTGAGAATGTTTCTGTCTAGTGGTTATGGGAAGATATTTGCTTTTTCCCCGTAGGCCTCAGGGCGCTCCAAATGTCCACTTGCACATGCTACAAAAAGAGTGCTTCAAAGCTGATCTCTGAAAGGGAATGTTCAACTCTATGAGTTGAATGCAAACATCACAAAGACGTTTCTGAGAATGCTTCTCTCTAGATTTGATATGAAGATATTCCCGTTTCCAACGAAATCTTCAAATCTATCCAAATGTCCACTTGCAGATTCAACAAAAAGTGTTTTTCAGAACTGCTCAATCAAAAGAAAGATCCACCTGTGTTAGCCGAGTTCACACATCACAAACAAGTTTATGAGAATGCTTCTGTCTAGTTTTTATTTGAAGATATTTCCTTTCTCACCATAGACCTGAAAGCTGTCCTAATGTTCACTTCCAGTTACTACAGAAAGAGTGTTTCAAAACTGCTGTATGAAAGGGAATGTTCAACTGCTGTGACTTGAATGCACACATCACAAAGAAGTTTCTGAGGATGCTGCTGTCTACTTTTTATACGTAATCCCGTTTCCAACGAAATCCTCCAAGCTATCCAAATATCCACTTGCAGATTCCACAGAAAGACTGTTTCAAAACTGCTCTGTCAATAGAAAGGTTCAACTCTGATAACTGCGTGCATATATCCCAAAGAAGATTCTGAGATTGCTTCTGTCTAGTTTTTATGGGAAGATATTTCCCTTTTCACCGTAGGTGTCAAGGCGCGCCAAATGTCCACTTCCAGATACTACAAAAAGAGTGTTTCAAACCTACTCTGTGAAAGGGAATATTCAACTCTGTGACTTGAATGCACATATCACAAAGAAGTTTCTGAGAATGCTTCTGTCGAGATTTTATATGAAGATATTCCCGTTTCCAACGAAATCCTGAAATCTATCCAAATATCCCCTCGCAGATTCTACAAAAAGAGTGTTTCAAAACTGCTCTGTAAAAAGAAAGGTTCAACTCTGTTAGTTGACTACACACATCACAAACAAGTTTCACAGAATGCTTCTTTCTAGCTTGTAGGGGAAGATATTTCCTTTATCACCATGGTTCTCAAACCGTCCGAAACGTCCACTTCCACATACTAAAAAAACAGTGTTTGAAACCTGCTCTATGAAAGGCAATGTTCAACTCTGTGACTTGAATGCAGACATCACAGAGCAGTTTCTGAGAATGCTTCTGTCTAGATTTTATAGGAAGATATTCCCGTTTCCAACGAAATCTTCACAGCTATCCAAATATCCACTTGCAGATTCTACAAAAAGAGTGTATCAAAACTGCTCTGTCAAAAGGAAGGTTCTTCTCTGTTAGGTAAGTGCATACGTCATAAAGGAGTTTCTGAGAATGTTTCTGTCTAGTGGTTATGGGAAGATATTTGCTTTTTCACCGTAGGCCTCAGAGCGCTCCAAATATCCACTTGCACAGACTACAAAAAGAGTGCTTCAAAGCTGCTCTCTGAAAGGGAATGTTCAACTCTATGAGTTGAATGCAAACATCACAAAGACGTTTCTGAGAATGCTTCTGTCTAGATTTGATATGAAGATATTCCCGTTTCCAACGAAATCTTCAAATCTATCCAAATGTCCACTTGCAGATTCAACAAAAAGTGTTTTTCAGAACTGCTCTATCAAAAGAAAGATCCACGTCTGTTAGCTGAGTTCACACATCACAAACAAGTTTATGAGAATGCTTCTGTCTAGTTTTTATTTGAAGATATTTCCTTTCTCACCATAAACCTGAAAGCTGTCCTAATGTTCACTTCCAGATACTACAGAAAGAGTGTTTCAAAACTGCTGTACGAAAGGGAATGTTCAACTCTGTGACTTGAATGCACACATCACAAAGAAGTTTCTGAGGATGCTGCTGTCTACTTATTATACGTAATCCCGTTTCCAACGAAATCCTCCAAGCTATCCAAATATCCACTTGCAGATTCCACAGAAAGACTCTTTCAAAACTGCTCTGTCAATAGAAAGGTTCAACTCTGTTAGCTGCGTGCATACATCCCAAAGAAGATTCTGAGATTGCTTCTGTCGAGATTTTATATGAAGATATTCCCGTTTCCAACAAAATCCTGAAATCTATCCAAATATCCCCTCACAGATTCTACAAAAAGAGTGTTTCAAAACTGCTCTGTAAAAAGAAAGGTTCAACTCTGTTAATTGAGTACACACATCACAAACAAGTTTCACAGAATGCTTCTTTCTAGCTTGTAGGGGAAGATATTCCCTTTATCACCATGGGCCTCCAACCGTCCGAAACATCCACTTCCATATACTACAAAAAGAGCGTTTCAAACCTGCTCTATGAAAGGCAATGTTCAACTGTGTGACTTGAATGCAGACATCACAGAGCAGTTTCTGAGAATGCTTCTGTCTAGATTTTATAGGAAGATATTCCCGTTTCCAACGAAATCTTCACAGCTATCCAAATATCCACTTGCAGATTCTACAAAAAGAGTGTATCAAAACTGCTGTGTCAAAAGGAAGGTTCTTCTCTGTTAGGTGAGTGCATACGTCATAAAGGAGTTTCTGAGAATGTTTCTGTCTAGTGGTTATGGGAAGATATTTGCTTTTTCACCGTAGGCCTCAGAGCGCTCCAAATATCCACTTGCACATACTACAAAAAGAGTGCCTCAAAGCTGCTCTCTGAAACGGAATGTTCAACTCTATTAGTTGAATGCAAACATCACAAAGACGTTTCTGAGAATGCTTCTGTCTAGATTTGATATAAAGATATTCCCGTTTCCAACGAAATCTTCAAATCTATCCAAATGTCCACTTGCAGATTCAACAAAAAGTGTTTTTCAGAACTGCTCTATCAAAAGAAAGATCCACCTCTGTTAGCTGAGTTCACACATCACAAACAAGTTTATGAGAATGCTTTTGTCTAGTTTTTATTTGAAGATATTTCCTTTCTCACCATAGACCTGAAAGCTGTCCTAATGTTCACTTCCAGTTACTACAGAAAGAGTGTTTCAAAACTGCTGTACGAAAGGGAATGTTCAACTACTGTGACTTGAATGCACACATCACAAAGAAGTTTCTGAGGATGCTGCTGTCTACTTTTTATACGTAATCCCGTTTCCAACGAAATCCTCCAAGCTATCCAAATATCCACTTGCAGATTCCACAGAAAGACTGTTTCAAAACTGCTCTGTCAATAGAAAGGTTCAACTCTGTTAGCTGCGTGCATATATCCCAAAGGAGATTCTGAGATTGCTTCTGTCTAGTTTTTATGGGAAGATATTTCCCTTTTCACCATAGGTGTCAAGGCGTTCCAAATGTCCACTTCCAGATACTACAAAAAGAGTGTTTCAAACCTACTCTGTGAAAGGGAATATTCAACTCTGTGACTTGAATGCACATATCACAAATAAGTTTCTGAGAATGCTTCTGTCGAGATTTTATATGAAGATATTCCCGTTTCCAATGAAATGCTGAAATGTATCAAAATATCCCCTCGCAGATTCTACAAAAAGAGTGTTTCAAAACTGCTCTGTAAAAAGAAAGGTTCAACTCTGTTAGTTGAGTACACACATCACAAACAAGTTTCACAGAATGCTTCTTTCTAGCTTGTAGGGGAAGATATTCCCTTTATCACCATGGGCCTCAAACCGTCCGAAACGTCCACTTCCATATACTACAAAAAGAGCGTTTCAAACCTGCTCTATGAAAGGCAATGTTCAACTCTGTGACTTGAATACAGACATCGGCAGAGCAGTTCCTGAGAATGCTTCTGTCTAGATTTTATAGGAAGATATTCCCGTTTCCAAAGAAATCTTCACAGCTATCCAAATATCCACTTGCAGATTCTACAAAAAGAGTGTATCAAAACTGCTCTGTCAAAAGGAAGGTTCTTCTCTGTTAGGTGAGTGCATACGTCATAAAGGAGTTTCTGAGAATGTTTCTGTATAGTGGTTATGGGAAGATATTTGCTTTTTCACCGTAGGCCTCAGAGCGCTCCAAATATCCACTTGCACATACTACAAAAAGAGTGCTTCAAAGCTGCTCTCTGAAACGGAATGTTCAACTCTATGAGTTGAATGCAAACATCACAAAGACGTTTCTGAGAATGCTTCTGTCTAGATTTGATATGAAGATATTCCCGTTTCCAACGAAATCTTCAAATCTATCCAAATGTCCACTTGCAGATTCAACAAAAAGTGTTTTTCAGAACTGCTCTATGAAAAGAAAGATCCACCTCTGTTAGCTGAGTTCACACATCACAAACAAGTTTATGAGAATGCTTCTGTCTAGTTTTTATTTGAAGATATTTCCTTTCTCACCATAGAGCTGAAAGCTGTCATAATGTTCACTTCCAGATACTACAGAAAGAGTGTTTCAAAACTGCTGTACGAAAGGGAATGTTCAACTCTGTGACTTGAATGCACACATCACAAAGAAGTTTCTGAGGATGCTGCTGTCTACTTTTTATACGTAATCCCGTTTCCAACGAAATCCTCCAATCTATCCAAATATCCACTTGCAGATTCCACAGAAAGACTGTTTCAAAACTGCTCTGTCAATAGAAAGGTTCAACTCTGTTAACTGCGTGCATATATCCCAAAGAAGATTCTGAGATTGCTTCTGTCTAGTTTTTATGGGAAGATATTTCCCTTTTCACCGTAGGTGTCAAGGGGCTCCAAATGTCCACTTCCAGATACTACAAAAAGAGTGTTTCAAACCTACTCTGTGAAAGGGAATATTCAACTCTGTGACTTAAAGGCAGATATCACAAAGAAGTTTCTGAGAATGCTTCTGTCGAGATTTTATATGAAGATATTCCCGTTTCCAACGAAATCCTGAAATCTATCCAAATATCCCCTCGCAGATTCTACAAAAAGATTGTTTCAAAACTGCTCTGTAAAAAGAAAGGTTCAACCCTGTTAGTTGAGTACACACATCACAAACAAGTTTCACAGAATGCTTCTTTCTAGCTTGTAGGGGAAGATATTCCCTTTATCACCATGGGCCTCCAACCGTCCGAAACGTCCACTTCCATATACTACAAAAAGAGCGTTTCAAACCTGCTCTAGGAAAGGCAATGTTCAACTCTGTGACTTGAATGCAGACATCACAGAGCAGTTTACTGAGAATGCTTCTGTCTAGATTTTATAGGAAGATACTCCCGTTTCCAACGAAATCTTCACAGTTATCCAAATATACACTTGCAGATTCTACAAAAAGAGTGTATCAAAACTGCTCTGTCAAAAGGAAGGTTCTTCTCTGTTAGTTGAGTACATACGTCATAAAGTAGTTTCTGAGAATGTTTCTGTCTAGTGGTTATGGGAAGATATTTGCTTTTTCACCGAAGGCCTCAGAGCGCTCCAAATATCCACTTGCACATACTACAAAAAGAGTGCCTCAAAGCTGCTCTCTGAAACGGAATGTTCAACTCTATGAGTTGAATGCAAACATCACAAAAGACGTTTCTGAGAATGCTTCTGTCTAGATTTGATATGAAGATATTCCCGTTTCCAACGAAATCTTCAAATCTATCCAAATGTCCACTTGCAGATTCAACAAAAAGTGTTTTTCAGAACTGCTCTATCAAAAGAAAGTTCCACCTCTGTTAGCTGAGTTCACACATCACAAACAAGTTTATGAGAATGCTTCCGTCTAGTTTTTATTTGAAGATATTTCCTTTCTCACCATAGACCTGAAAGCTGTCCTAATGTTCACTTCCAGTTACTACAGAAAGAGTGTTTCAAAACTGCTGTACGAAAGGGAATGTTCAACTCTGTGACTTGAATGCACACATCACAAGGATGTTTCTGAGGATGCTGCTGTCTACTTTTTATACGTAATCCCGTTTCCAACGAAATCCTCCAAACTATCCAAATATTCACTTGCAGATTCCACAGAAAGACTGTTTCAAAACTGCTCTGTCAATAGAAAGGTTCAACTCTGTTAGCTGCGTGCATATATCCCAAAGAAGTTTCTGAGATTACTTCTGTCTAGTTTTTATGGGAAGATATTTCCCTTTTCACCGTAGGCGTCAAGGCGCTCCAAATGTCCACTTCCAGATACTACAAAAAGAGTGTTTCAAACCTACTCTGTGAAAGGGAGTATTCAACTCTGTGACTTGAATGCAGATATCACAAAGAAGTTTCTGAGAATGCTTCTGTCGAGATTTTATATGAAGATATTCCCGTTTCCAACGAAATCCTGAAATCTATCCAAATATCCCCTCGCAGATTCTACAAAAAGAGTGTTTCAAAACTGCTCTGTAAAAAGAAAGATTCAACTCTGTTAGTTGAGTACACACATCACAAACAAGTTTCACAGAATGCTTCTTTCTAGCTTGTAGGGGAAGATATTCCCTTTATCACCATGGGCCTCAAACCGTCCGAAACGTCCACTTTTATATACTACAAAAAGAGCGTTTCAAACCTGCTCTACGAAAGTCAATGTTCAACTCTGTGACTTGAATGCAGACATCACAGAGCAGTTTCTGAGAATGCTTCTGTCTAGATTTTATAGGAAGATATTCCCGTTTCCAACGAAATCTTCACAGCTATCCAAATATCCACTTGCAGATTCTACAAAAAGAGTGTATCAAAACTGCTCTGTCAAAAGGAAGGTTCTTCTCTGTTAGGTGAGTGCATACGTCATAAAGGAGTATCTGAGAATGTTTCTGTCTAGTGGTTATGGGAAGATATTTGCTTTTTCACCGTAGGCCTCAGAGCGCTCCAAATATCCACTTGCACATACTACAAAAAGAGTGCCTCACAGCTGCTCTCTGAAACGGAATGTTCAACTCTATGAGTTGAATGCAAACATCGCAAAGACGTTTCTGAGAATGCTTCTGTCTAGATTTGATATGAAGATATTCCCGTTTCCAACGAAATCTTCAAATCTATCCAAATGTCTACTTGCAGATTCAACAAAAAGTGTTTTACAAAACTGCTGTATCAAAAGAAAGATCCACGTCTGTTAGCTGAGTTCACACATCACAAACAAGTTTATGAGAATGCTTCTGTCTAGTTTTTATTTGAAGATATATCCTTTCTCACTATAGACCTGAAAGCTGTCCTAAAGTTCACTTCCAGATACTACAGAAAGAGTGTTTCAGAAACTGCTGTATGAAAGGGAATGTTCAACTCTGTGACTTGAATGCACACATCACAAAGAAGTTTCTGAGGATGCTGCTGTCTACTTTTTATACGTAATCCCGTTTCCAACGAAATCCTCCAAGCTATCCAAATATCCACTTGCAGATTCCACAGAAAGACTGTTTAAGAACTGCTCTGTCAATAGAAAGGTTCAACTCTGTTAGCTGCGTGCATATATCCCAAAGAAGATTCTGAGATTGCTTCTGTCTAGTTTTTATGGGAAGATATTTCCCTTTTCACCGTAGGCGTCAAGGCGCTCCAAATGTCCACTTCCAGATACTACAAAAAGAGTGTTTCAAACCTACTCTGTGAAAGGGAATATTCAACTCTGTGAGTTGAATGCACATATCACAAAGAAGTTTCTGAGAATGCTTCTGTCGAGATTTTATATGAAGATATTCCAGTTTCCAACCAAATCCTGAAATCTATCCAAATATCCCCTCGCAGATTCTACAAAAAGAGTGTTTCAAAACTGCTCTGTAAAAAGAAAGGTTCAACTCTGTTAGTTGAGTACACACATCACAAACAAGTTTCACAGAATGCTTCTTTCTAGCTTGTAGGGGAAGATATTCCCTTTATCACCATGGGCCTCCAACCGTCCGAAACGTCCACTTCCATATACTACAAAAAGAGCGTTTCAAACCTGCTCTATGAAAGGCAATGTTCAACTCTGTGACTTGAATGCAGACATCACAGAGCAGTTTCTGAGAATGCTTCTTTCTAGATTTTATAGGAAGATATTCCCGTTTCCAACGAAATCTTCACAGCTATCCAAATATCCACTTGCAGATTCTACAAAAAGTGTGTATCAAAACTGCTCTGTCAAAAGGAAGGTTCTTCTCTGTTAGGTGAGTGCATACGTCATAAAGGAGTTTCTGAGAATGTTTCTGACTAGTGGTTATGGGAAGATATTTGCTTTTTCACCGTAGGCCTCAGAGCGCTCCAAATATCCACTTGCACATACTACAAAAAGAGTGCCTCAAAGCTGCTCTCTGAAACGGAATGTTCAACTCTATGAGTTGAATGCAAACATCGCAAAGACGTTTCTGAGAATGCTTCTGTCTAGATTTGATATGAAGATATTCCCGTTTCCAACGAAATCTTCAAATCTATCCAAATGTCCACTTGCAGATTCAACAAAAAGTGTTTTTCAGAACTGCTCTATCAAAAGAAATATCCACCTCTGTTAGCTGAGTTCACACATCACAAACAAGTTTATGAGAATGCTTCTGTCTAGTTTTTATTTGAAGATATTTCCTTTCTAATTATAGACCTGAAAGCTCTCCTAATGTTCACTTCCAGATACTACAGAAAGAGTGTTTCAAAACTGCTGTACGAAAGGGAATGTTCAACTCTGTGTCTTGAATGCACACATCACAAGGAAGTTTCTGAGGATGCTGCTGTCTAATTTTTATACGTAATCCCGTTACCAACGAAATCCTCCAAGCTATCCAAATATCCACTTGCAGATTCCACAGAAAGACTGTTTCAAAACTGCTCTGTCAATAGAAAGGTTCAACTCTGTTAGCTGCGTGCATATATCCCAAAGAAGATTCTGAGATTGCTTCTGTCTAGTTTTTATGGGAAGATATTTCCCTTTTCAGGGTAGGCGTCGAGGCGCTCCAAATGTCCACTTCCAGATACTACAAAAAGAGTGTTTCAAACCTACTCTGTGAAAGGGAATATTCAACTCTGTGACTTGAATGCACATATCACAAAGAAGTTTCTGAGAATGCTTCTGTCGAGATTTTATATGAAGATATTCCCGTTTCCAACGAAATCCTGAAATGTATCCAAATATCCCCTCGCAGATTCTACAAAAAGAGTGTTTCAAAACTACTCTGTAAAAAGAAAGGTTCAACTCTGTTAGTTGAGTACACACATCACAAACAAGTTTCACACAATGCTTCTTTCTAGCTTGTATGGGAAGATATTCCCTTTATCACCATGGGCCTCAAACCGTCCGAAACGTCCACTTCCATATATTACAAAAAGAGTGTTTCAAACCTGCTCTATGAACGGCAATGTTCAACTCTGTGACTTGAATGCAGACATCACAGAGCAGTTTCTGAGAATGCTTCTGTCTAGATTTTATAGGAAGATATTCCCGTTTCCAACGAAATCTTCACAGCAATCCAAATATCCACTTGCAGATTCTACAAAAAGAGTGTATCAAAACTGCTCTGTCAAAAGGAAGGTTCTTCTCTGTTAGGTGAGTGCATACGTCATAAAGGAGTTTCTGAGAATGTTTCTGTCTAGTGGTTATGGGAAGATATTTGCTTTTTCACCTTAGGCCTCAGAGCGCTCCAAATATCCCCTTGCACATACTACAAAAAGAGTGCTTCAAAGCTGCTCTCTGAAAGGGAATGTTCAACTCTATGAGTTGAATGCAAACATCACAAAGACGTTTCTGAGAATGCCTTCTGTCTAGATTTGATATAAAGATATTCCCGTTTCCAACGAAATCTTCAAATCTATCCAAATGTCCACTTGGAGATTCAACAAAAAGTGTTTTTCCGAACTGCTCTATCAAAAGAAAGATCCACCTCTGTTAGCTGAGTTCACACATCACAAACAAGTTTATGAGAATGCTTCTGTCTAGTTTTTATTTGAAGATATTTCCTTTCTCACCATAGACCTGAAAGCTGTCCTAATGTTCACTTCCAGATACTACAGAAAGAGTGTTTCAATACTGCTGTACGAAAGGGAATGTTCAACTCTGTGACTTGAATGCACACATCAAAAGGAGGTTCTGAGGATGCTGCTGTCTACTTTTTATACGTAATCCCGTTTCCAACGAAATCCTCCAAGCTATCCAAATATCCACTTGCAGATTCCACAGAAAGACTGTTTCAAAACTGCTCTGTCAATAGAAAGGTTCAACTCTGTTAGCTGCGTGCATATATCCCAAAGAAGATTCTGAGATTGCTTCTGTCTAGTTTTTATGGGAAGATATTTCCCTTTTCACCGTAGGCGTCAAGGCGCTCCAAATGTCCACTTCCAGATACTACAAAAAGAGTGTTTCAAACCTACTCTGTGAAAGGGAATATTCACCTCTGTGACTTGAATGCACATATCACAAAGAAGTTTCTGAGAATGCTTTCTGTCGAGATTTTATATGAAGATATTCCCGTTTCCAACGAAATCCTGAAATCTATCCAAATATCCCCTCGCAGATTCTACAAAAAGATTGTTTCAAAACTGCTCTGTAAAAAGAAAGGTTCAACTCTGTTAGTTGAGTACACACATCACAAACAAGTTTCACACAATGCTTCTTTCTAGCTTGTAGGGGAAGATATTCCCTTTATCACCATGGGCCTCCAACCGTCCGAAACATCCACTTCCATATACTACAAAAAGAGCGTTTCAAACCTGCTCTATGAAAGGCAATGTTCAACTCTGTGACTTGAATGCAGACATCACAGAGCAGTTTCTGAGAATGCTTTCTGTCTAGATTTTATAGGAAGATATTCCCGTTTCCAAAGAAATCTTCACAGCTATCCAAATATCCACTTGCAGATTCTACAAAAAGAGTGTATCAAAACTGCTCTTTCAAAAGGAAGGTTCTTCTCTGTTAGTTGAGTACATACGTCATAAAGGAGTTTCTGAGAATGTTTCTGTCTAGTGGTTATGGGAAGATATTTTCTTTTTCACCGTAGGCCTCAGAGCGCTCCAAATATCCACTTGCACATACTACAAAAAGAGTGCTTCAAAGCTGCTCTCTGAAACGGAATGTTCAACTCTATGAGTTGAATGCAAACATCACAAAGACGTTTCTGAGAATGCTTCTGTCTAGATTTGATATGAAGATATTCCCGTTTCCAACGAAATCTTCAAATCTATCCAAATGTCCACTTGCAGATTCAACAAAAAGTGTTTTTCGAAACTGCTGTATCAAAAGAAAGATCCACGTCTGTTAGCTGAGTTCACACATCACAAACAAGTTTATGAGAATGCTTCTGTCTAGTTTTTATTTGAAGATATTGCCTTTCTCACCATAGACCTGAAAGCTGTCCTAATGTTCACTTCCAGATACTACAGAAAGAGTGTTTCAAAACTGCTGTACGAAAGGGAATGTTCAACTCTGTGACTTGAATGCACACATCACAAAGAAGTTTCTGAGGATGCTGCTGTCTACTTTTTATACCTAATCCCGTTTCCAACGAAATCCTCCAAGCTATCCAAATATCCACTTGCAGATTCCACAGAAAGACTGTTTCAAAACTGCTCTGTCAATAGAAAGGTTCAACTCTGTTAGTTGCGTGCATATATCCCAAAGAAGATTCTGAGATTGCTTCTGTCTAGTTTTTATGGGAAGATATTTCCCTTTTCACCGTGGGCGTCAAGGCGCTCCAAATGTCCACTTCCGGATACTACAAAAAGAGTGTTTCAAACCTACTCTGTGAAAGGGAATATTCAACTCTGTGACTTGAATGCACATATCACAAGGAAGTTTCTGAGAATGCTTCTGTCGAGATTTTCTATGAAGATATTCCCGTTTCCAACGAAATCCTGAAATCTATCCAAATATCCCCTCGCAGATTCTACAAAAAGAGTGTTTCAAAACTGCTCTGTAAAAAGAAAGGTTCAACTCTATTAGTTGAGTACACACATCACAAACAAGTTTCACAGAATGCTTCTTTCTAGCTTGTAGGGGAAGATATTTCCTTTATCACCATGGGCCTCAAACCATCCGAAACGTCCACTTCCATATACTAAAAAAAGAGTGTTTGAAACCTGCTCTATGAAAGGCAATGTTCAACTCTGTGACTTGAATGCAGACATCACAGAGCAGTTTCTGAGAATGCTTCTGTCCAGACTTTATAGGAAGATATTCCCGTTTCCAAGGAAATCTTCACAGCTATCCAAATATCCACTTGCAGATACTACAAAAAGAATGTATCAAAAATGCTCTGTCAAAAGGAAAGTTCTTCTCTGCTAGTTGAGTACATACGTCATAAAGAAGTTTCTGAGAATGTTTCTGTCTAGTGGTTATGGGAAGATATTTGCTTTTTCACCGTAGGCCTCAGAGCGCTCCAAATATCCACTTGCACATACTACAAAAAGAGTGCCTCAAAGCTGCTCTCTGAAAGGGAATGTTCAACTCTATGAGTTGAATGCAAACATCGCAAAGACGTTTCTGAGAATGCTTCTGTCTAGATTTGATATGAAGATATTCCCGTTTCCAACGAAATCTTCAAATCTATCCAAATGTCCACTTGCAGATTCAACAAAAAGTGTTTTTCAGAACTGCTCTATCAAAAGAAAGATCCACCTATGTTAGCTGAGTTCACACATCACAAACAAGTTTATGAGAATGCTTCTGTCTAGTTTTTATTTGAAGATATTTCCTTTCTCACCATAGACCTGAAAGCTGTCCTAGTGTTCACTTCCAGATACTACAGAAAGAGTGTTTCAAAACTGCTGTACGAAAGGGAATGTTCAACTCTGTGACTTGAATGCACACATCACAAAGAAGTTTCTGAGGATGCTGCTGTCTACTTTTTATACGTAATCCCGTTTCCAACGAAATCCTCCAAGCTATCCAAATGTCCACTTGCAGATTCCACAGAAAGACTGTTTCAAAACTGCTCTGTCAATAGAAAGGTTCAACTCTGTTAGCTGCGTGCATATATCCCAAAGAAGATTCTGAGATTGCTTCTGTCTAGTATTTATGGGAAGATATTTCCCTTTTCACCGTAGGTGTCAAGGTGCTCCAAATGTCCACTTCCAGATACTACAAAAAGAGTGTTTCAAACCTACTCTGTGAAAGGGAATATTCAACTCTGTGACTTGAATGCAGATATCACAAAGAAGTTTCTGAGAATGCTTCTGTCGAGATTTTATATGAAGATATTCCCGTTTCCAACGAAATCCTGAAATCTATCCAAATATCCCCTCGCAGATTCTTCAAAAAGAGTGTTTCAATACTGCTCTGTAAAAAGAAAGGTTCAACTCTGTTAGTTGAGTACACACATCACAAACTAGTTTCACAGAATGCTTCTTTCTAGCTTGTAGGGGAAGATATTCCCTTTATCACCATGGGCCTCAAACCGTCCGAAATGTCCACTTCCATATACTACAAAAAGAGTGTTTCAAACCTGCTCTATGAAAGGCAATGTTCAACTCTGTGACTTGAATGCAGACATCACAGAGCAGTTTCTGAGAATGCTTCTGTCTAGATTTTATAGGAAGATATTCCCGTTTCCAACGAAATCTTCACAGCTATCCAAATATCCACTTGCAGATTCTACAAAAAGAGTGTATCTAAACTGCTCTGTCAAAAGGAAGGTTCTTTTCTGTTAGGTGAGTGCATACGTCATAAAGGAGTTTCTGAGAATGTTTCTGTCTAGTGGTTATGGGAAGATATTTGCTTTTTCACCGTAGGCCTCAGAGCGCTCCAAATATCCACTTGCACATACTACAAAAAGAGTGCCTCAAAGCTGCTCTCTGAAACGGAATGTTCAACTCGATGAGTTGAATGCAAACATCGCAAAGACGTTTCTGAGAATGCTTCTGTCTAGATTTGATATGAAGATATTCCCGTTTCCAACGAAATCTTCAAATCTATCCAAATGTCCACTTGCAGATTCAACAAAAAGTGTTTTTCCGAACTGCTCTATCAAAAGAAAGATCCGCCTCTGTTAGCTGAGTTCACACATCACAAACAAGTTTATGAGAATGCTTTCTATCTAGTTTTTATTTGAAGATATTTCCTTTCTCACCATAGACCTGAAAGCTGTCCTAATGTTCACTTCCAGATACTACAGAAAGAGTGTTTCAAAACTGCTGTACGAAAGGGAATGTTCAACTCTGTGACTTGAATGCACACATCACAAAGAATGATTTCTGAGGATGCTGCTGTCTACTTTTTATACGTAATCCCCTTTGCAACGAAATCCTCCAATCTATCCAAATATCCACTTGCAGATTCCACAGAAAGACAGTTTCAAAACTGCTCTGTCAATAGAAAGGTTCAACTCTGTTAGCTGCGTGCATATATCCCAAAGAAGATTCTGAGATTGCTTCTGTCTAGTTTTTATGGGAAGATATTTCCCTTTTCACCGTAGGCGTCAAGGCGCTCCAAATGTCCACTTCCAGATACTACAAAAAGAGTGTTTCAAACCTACTCTGTGAAAGCGAATATTCAACTCTGTGACTTGAATGCACATATCACAAAGAAGTTTCTGAGAATGCTTCTGTCGAGGTTTTATATGAAGATATTCCCGTTTCCAACGAAATCCTGAAATCTATCCAAATATCCCCTCGCAGATTCTACAGAAAGAGTGTTTCAAAACTGCTCTGTAAAAAGAAAGGTTCAACTCTGTTACTTGAGTACACACATCACAAACAAGTTTCACAGAATGCTTCTTTCTAGCTTGTAGGGGAAGATATTCCCTTTATTACCATGGGCCTCAAACCGTCCGAAAAGTCCACTTCCATATACTACAAAAAGAGCGTTTCAAACCTGCTCTATGAAAGGCAATGTTCAACTCTGTGACTTGAATGCAGACATCACAGAGCAGTTTCTGAGAATGCTTCTGTCTAGATTTTATAGGAAGATATTCCCGTTTCCAACGAAATCTTCACAGCTATCCAAATATCCACTTGCAGATTCTACAAAAAGAGTGTATCAAAACTGCTCTGTCAAAAGGAAGGTTCTTCTCTCTTAGGTGAGTACATACGTCATAAAGGAGTTTCTGAGAATGTTTCTGTCTAGTGGTTATGGGAAGATATTTGCTTTTTCACCGTAGGCCTCAGAGCGCTCCAAATATCCACTTGCACATAGTACAAAAAGAGTGCTTCAAAGCTGCTCTCTGAAAAGGAATGTTCAACTCTATGAGTTGAATGCAAACATCACAAAGACGTTTCTGAGAATGCTTCTGTCTAGATTTGATATGAAGATATTCCCGTTTCCAACGAAATCTTCAAATCTATCGAAATGTCCACTTGCAGATTCAACAAAAAGTGTTTTTCAGAACTGCTCTATCAAAAGAAAGATCCACCTCTGTTAGCTGAGTTCACACATCACAAACAAGTTTATGAGAATGCTTCTGTCTAGTTTTTAGTTGAAGATATTTCCTTTCTCACCATAGACCTGAAAGCTGTCCTAATGTTCACTTCCAGATACTACAGAAAGAGTGTTTCAAAACTGCTGTACGAAAGGGAATGTTCAACTCTGTGACTTGAATGCACACATCACAAAGAAGTTTCTGAGGATGCTGCTGTCTACTTTTTATACGTAATCCCGTTTCCAACGAAATCCTCCAAGCTATCCAAATATCCACTTGCAGATTCCACAGAAAGACTGTTTCAAATCTGCTCAGTCAATAGAAAGGTTCAACTCTGTTTGCTGCGTGCATATATCCCAAAGAAGATTCTGAGATTGCTTCTGTCTAGTTTTTATGGGAAGATATTTCCCTTTTCACCGTAGGTGTCAAGGCGCTCCAAATGTCCACATCCAAATACTACAAAAAGAGTGTTTCAAACCTACTCTGTGAAAGGGAATATTCAACTCTGTGACTTGAATGCACATATCACAAAGAAGTTTCTGAGAATGCTTCTGTCGAGATTTTATATGAAGATATTCCCGTTTCCAACGAAATCCTGAAATGTATCCAAATATCCCCTCGCAGATTCTACAAAAAGAGTGTTTTAAAACTGCTCTGTAAAAAGAAAGGTTCAACTCTGTTAGTTGAGTACACACATCACAAACAAGTTTCACACAATGCTTCTTTCTAGCTTGTAGGGGAAGATATTCCCTTTATCACCATGGGCCTCAAACCGTCCGAAACGTCCACTTCCATATACTACAAAAAGAGAGTTTCAAACCTGCTCTATGAAAGGCAATGTTCAACTCTGTGACTTGAATGCAGACATCACAGAGCAGTTTCTGAGAATGCTTCTGTCTAGATTTTATAGGAAGATATTCCCGTTTCCAACGAAATCTTCACAGCTATCCAAATATCCACTTGCAGATTCTACAAAAAGAGTGTATCAAAACTGCTCTGTCAAAAGGAAGGTTCTTTTCTGTTAGGTGAGTGCATACGTCATAAAGGAGTTTGCTGAGAATGTTTAAGTCTAGTGGTTATGGGAAGATATTTGCCTTTTCACCTTAGGCCTCAGAGCGCTCCAAATATCCACTTGCACATACTACAAAAAGAGTGTTTCAAAGCTGCTCTCTGAAAGGGAATGTTCAACTCTATGAGTTGAATGCAAACATCACAAAGACGTTTCTGAGAATGCTTCTGTCTAGATTTTATATGAAGATATTCCCGTTTCCAACGAAATCTTCAAATCTATCCAAATGTCCACTTGCAGATTCAACAAAAAGTGTTTTTCAGAACTGCTCTATCAAAAGAAAGATCCACCTCTGTTAGATGAGTTCACACATCACAAACAAGTTTATGAGAATGCTTCTTGTCTAGTTTTTATTTGAAGATATTTTCTTTCTCACCATAGACCTGAAAGCTGTCCTAATGTTCACTTCCAGATACTACAGAAAGAGTGTTTCAAAACTGCTGTACAAAAGGGAATGTTCAACTCTGTGACTTGAATGCACACATCACAAAGAAGTTTCTGAGGATGCTGCTGTCTACTTTTTATACGTAATCCCGTTTCCAACGAAATCCTCCAAGCTATCCAAATATCCACTTGCAGATTCCACAGAAAGACTGTTTCAAAACTGCTCTGTCAATAGAAAAGTTCAACTCTGTTAGCTGTGTGCATATATCCCAAAGAAAATTCTGAGATTGCTTCTGTCTAGTTTTTATGGGAAGATATTTCCCTTTTCACAATAGGTGTCAAGGCGCTCCAAATGTCCACTTCCAGATACTACAAAAAGAGTGTTTCAAACCTACTCTGTGAAAGGGAATATTCAACTCTGTGACTTGAATGCAGATATCACAAAGAAGTTTCTGAGAATGCTTCTGTCGAGATTTTATATGAAGATATTCCCGTTTCCAACAAAATCCTGAAATGTATCCAAATATCCCCTCGCAGATTGTACAAAAAGAGTGTTTCAAAACTGCTCTGTAAAAAGAAAGGTTCAACTCTGTTAGTTGAGTACACACATCACAAATAAGTTTCACACAATGCTTCTTTCTAGCTTGTAGGGGAAGATATTTCCTTTATCACCATGGGCCTCAAACCGTCCGAAACGTCCACTTCCATATACTAAAAAAAGAGTGCTTGAAACCTGCTCTATGAAAGGCAATGTTCAACTCTGTGACATGAAAGCAAACATCACAGAGCAGTTTCTGAGAATGCTTCTGTCTAGATTTTATAGGAAGATATTCCCGTTTCCAACGAAATCTTCACAGCTATCCAAATATCCACTTGCATATTCTACAAAAAGAGTGTATCAAAACTGCTCTGTCAAAAGGAAGGTTCTTCTCTGTTAGGTGAGTGCATACGTCATAAAGGAGTTTCTGAGAATGTTTCTGTCTAGTGGTTATGGGAAGATATTTGCTTTTTCCCCGTAGGCCTCAGGGCGCTCCAAATGTCCACTTGCACATGCTACAAAAAGAGTGCCTCAAAGCTGCTCTCTGGAAGGGAATGTTCAACTCTATGAGTTGAATGCAAACATCACAAAGAGGTTTCTGAGAATGCTTCTGTCTAGATTTGATATGAAGATATTCCCGTTTCCAACGAAATCTTCAAATCTATCCAAATGTCCACTTGCAGATTCAACAAAAAGTGTTTTTCAGAACTTCTCTATCAAAAGAAAGATCCACCTCTCTTAGCTGAGTTCACACATCAGAAACAAGTTTATGAGAATGCTTCTGTCTAGTTTTTATTTGAAGATATTTCCTTTCTCACCATAGTACCTGAAAGCTGTCCTAATGTTCACTTCCAGTTACTACAGAAAGAGTGTTTCAAAACTGCTGTACGAAAGGGAATGTTCAACTCTGTGACTTGAATGCACACATCACAAAGAAGTTTCTGAGGATGCTGCTGTCTACTGTTTATACTTAATCCCGTTTCCAACGAAATCCTCCAAGCTATCCAAATATCCACTTGCAGATTCCACAGAAAGACTGTTTCAAAACTGCTCTGTCAATAGAAAGGTTCAACTCTGTTAGCTGCGTGCATATATCCCAAAGAAGATTCTGAGATTGCTTCTGTCTACTTTTTATGAGAAGATATTTCCCTTTTCACCGTAGGCGTCAAGGTGCTCAAAATGTCCACTTCCAGATACTACAAAAAGAGTGTTTCAAACCTACTCTGTGAAAGGGAATATTCAACTCTGTGACTTGAATGCACATATCACAAAGAAGGTTCTGAGAATGCTTCTGTCGAGATTTTATATGAAGATATTCCCGTTTCCAACGAAATCCTGAAATCTATCCAAATATCCCCTCGCAGATTCTACAAAAAGAGTGTTTCAAAGCTGCTCTGTAAAAAGAAAGGTTCAACTCTGTTAGTTGAGTACACACATCACAAACAAGTTTCACAGAATGCTTCTTTCTAGCTTGTAGGGGAAGATATTCCCTTTATCACCATGGGCCTCAAACCGTCCGAAACGTCCACTTCCATATAGTACAAAAAGAGCGTTTCAAACCTGCTCTAGGAAAGGCAATGTTCAACTCTGTGACTTGAATGCAAACATCACAGAGCAGTTTCTGAGAATGCTTCTGTCTAGACTTTATAGGAAGATATTCCCGTTTCCAACGAAATCTTCACAGCTATCCAAATATCCACTTGCAGATTCTACAAAAAGAGTGTATCAAAACTGCTCTGTCAAAAGGAAGGTTCTTTTGCTGTTAGGTGAGTGCATACGTCATAAAGGAGTTTCTGAGAATGTTTTCTGTCTAGTGGTTATGGGAAGATATTTGCTTTTTCCCCGTAAGCCTCAAAGCGCTCCAAATGTCCACTTGAACATACTACAAAAAGAGTGCTTCAAAGCTGCTCTCTGAAAGGGAATGTTCAACTCTATGAGTTGAATGCAAACATCACAAAGACGTTTCTGAGAATGCTTCTGTCTAGACTTGATATGAAGATATTCCCGTTTCCAACGAAATCTTCAAATCTATCCAAATGTCCACTTGCAGATTCAACAAAAAGTGTTTTTCAGAACTGCTCTATCAAAAGAAAGATCCACCTCTGTTAGCTGAGTTCACACATCACAAACAAATTGATGAGAATGCTTCTGTCTACTTTTTATTTGAAGATATTTCCTTTCTCACCATAGACCTGAACGCTGTCCTAATGTTCACTTCCAGATACTACAGAAAGAGTGTTTCAAAACTGCTGTACGAAAGGGAATGTTCAACTCTGTGACTTGAATGCACACATCACAAGGAAGTTTCTCAGGATGCTGCTGTCTATTTTTTATACGTAATCCCGTTTCCAACGAAATCCTCCAAGCTATCCAAATATCCACTTGCAGATTCCACAGAAAGACTGTTTCAAAACTGCTCTGTCAATAGAAAGGTTCAACTCTGTTAGCTGCGTGCATATATCCCAAAGAAGATTCTGAGATTGCTTCTGTCTAGTTTTTATGGGAAGATATTTCCCTTTTCACCGTGGGCGTCAAGGCGCTCCAAATGACCACTTCCAGATACTACAAAAAGAGTGTTTCAAACCTACTCTGTGAAAGGGAATATTCAACTCTGTGACTTGAATGCACATATCACAAGGAAGTTTCTGAGAATGCTTCTGTCAAGATTTTATATGAAGATATTCCCGTTTCCAACGAAATCCTGAAATCTATCCAAATATCCCCTCGCAGATTCTACAAAAAGAGTGTTTCAAAACTGCTCTGTAAAAAGAAAGGTTCAACTCTGTTAGTTGAGTACACACATCACAAACAAGTTTCACAGAATGCTTCTTTCTAGCTTGTAGGGGAAGATATTTCCTTTATCACCATGGTCCTCAAACCGTCCGAAACGTCCACATCCATATACTAAAAAAAGAGTGTTTGAAACCTGCTCTATGAAAGGCAACGTTCAACTCTGTGACTTGAATGCAGACATCACAGAGCAGTTTCAGAGAATGCTTCTGTCTAGATTTTATAGGAAGATATTCCCGTTTCCAACAAAATCTTCACAGCTATCGAAATATCCACTTGCAGATTCTACAAAAAGAGTGTATCAAAACTGCTCTGTCAAAAGGAAGGTTCTTCTCTGTTAGGTGAGTGCATACGTCATAAAGGAGTTTCTGAGAATGTTTTCTGTCTAGTGGTTATGGGAAGATATTTGCTTTTTCACCGTAGGCCCCAGAGCACTCCAAATATCCACTTGCACATACTACAAAAAGAGTGCTTCAAAGCTGCTCTCTGAAACGGAATGTTCAACTCTATGAGTTGAATGCAATCATCACAAAGACGTTTCTGAGAATGCTTCTGTCTAGATTTCATATGAAGGTATTCCTGTTTCCAACGAAATCTTCAAATCTATTCAAATGTCCACTTGCAGATTCAACAAAAAGTGTTTTTTAAAACTGCTGTTTCAAAAGAAAGATCCACCTCTGTTAGCTGAGTTCGCACTTCACAAACAAGTTTATCAGAATGCTCTGTCTAGTTTTTATTTGAAGATATTTCCTTTCTCACCATAGACCTGAAAGCTGTCCTAATGTTCACTTCCAGATACTACAGAAAGAGTGTTTCAAAACTGCTGTACGAAAGGGAATGTTCAACTCTGTGACTTGAATGCACACATCACAAAGAAGTTTCTGAGGATGCTGGCTGTCTACTTTTTATACGTAAACCCGTTTCCAACGAAATCCTCCAATCTATCCAAATATCCACTTGCAGATTCCACAGAAAGACTGTTTCAAATCTGCTCTGTCAATAGAAAGATTCAACTCTCTTAGCTGCGTGCATATATCCCAAAGAAGATTCTGAGATTGCTTCTGTCTAGTTTTTATGGGAAGATATTTCCCTTTTCACCGTAGGCGTCAAGGCGCTCCAAATGTCCACTTCCAGATACTACAAAAAGAATGTTTGAAACCTACTCTGTGAAAGGGAATATTCAACTCTGTGACTTGAATGCAGATATCACAAAGAAGTTTCTGAGAATGCTTCTGTCGAGATTTTATATGAAGATATTCCCCTTTCCAAAGAAATCCTGAAATCTATCCAAATATCCCCTCGCAGATTCTACAAAAAGAGTGTTTCAAAACTGCTCTGTAAAAAGAAAGGTTCAACTCTGTTAGTTGAGTACACACATCACAAACAAGTTTCACAGAATGCTTCTCTTTCTAGCTTGTAGAGGAAGATATTCCCTTTATCACCATGGGCCTCCAACCGTCCGAAACATCCACTTCCATATACTACAAAAAGAGCGTTTCAAACCTGCTCTATGAAAGGCAATGTTCAACTCTGTGACTTGAATGCAGACATCACAGAGCAGTTTCTGAGAATGCTTTCTGTCTAGATTTTATAGGAAGATATTCCCGTTTCCAACGAAATCTTCACAGGTATCCAAATATTCACTTGCAGATTCTACAAAAAGAGTGTATCAAAACTGCTCTGTCAAAAGGAAGGTTCTTCTCTGTTAGGTGAGTGCATACGTCATAAAGGAGTTTCTGAGAATGTTTCTGTCTAGTGGTTATGGGAAGATATTTGCTTTTTCACCGTAGGCCTCAGAGCGCTCCAAATATCCACTTGCACATACTACAAAAAGAGTGCTTCAAAGCTGGTCTCTGAAACGGAATGTTCAACTCTATGAGTTGAATGAAAACATCACAAAGACGTTTCTGAGAATGCTTCTGTCTAGATTTGATATGAAGATATTCCCGTTTCCAACGAAATCTTCATATCTATCCAAATGTCCACTTGCAGATTCAACAAAAAGTGTTTTTCAAAACTGCTGTATCAAAAGAAAGATCCACGACTGTTAGCTGAGTTTACACATCACAAACAAATTTATGAGAATGTTTCTGTCTAGTTTTTATTTGAAGATATTTCCTTTCTCACCATAGACCTGAAAGCTGTCCTAATGTTCACTTCCAGATACTACAGAAACAGTGTTTCAAAACTGCTGTACGAAAGGGAATGTTCAACTCTGTGACTTGAATGCACACCTCACAAATAAGTTTCTGAGGATGCTGCTGTCTACTTTTTATACGTAATCCCGTTTCCAACGAAATCCTCCAATCTATCCAAACATCCACTTGCAGATTCCACAGAAAGACTGTTTCAAAACTGCTCTGTCAATAGAAAGGTTCAACTCTGTTAGCTGCGTGCATATATCCCAAAGAAGATTCTGAGATTGCTTCTGTCTAGTTTTTACGGGAAGATATTTCCCTTTTCACCGTAGGTGTCAAGGCGCTCCAAAGGTCCACTTCCAGATACTACAAAAAGAGTGTTTCAAACCTACTCTGTGAAAGGGAATATTCCACTCTGTGACTTGAATGCAGATATCACAATGAAGTTTCTGAGAATGCTTCTGTCGAGATTTTATATGAAGATATTCCCGTTTCCAACGAAATCCTGAAATCTATCCAAATATCCCCTCGCAGATTCTACAAAAAGAGTGTTTCAAAACTGCTCTGTAAAAAGAAAGGTTCCACTCTGTTAGTTGAGTACACACATCACAAACAAGTTTCACAGAATGCTTCTTTCTAGCTTGTAGGGGAAGATATTTCCTTTATCACCATGGTCCTCAAACCGTCCGAAACGTCCACTTCCATATACTAAAAAAAGAGTGTTTGAAACCTGCTCTATGAAAGGCAATGTTCAACTCTGTGACTTGAATGCAGACATCACAGAGCAGTTTCTGAAAATGCTTCTGTCCAGACTTTATAGGAAGATATTCCCGTTTCCAACGAAATCTTCACAGCTATCCAAATATCCACTTGCAGATACTACAAAAAGAGTGTATCAAAAATGCTCTGTCAAAAGGAAAGTTCTTCTCTGCTAGTTGAGTACATACGTCATAAAGAAGTTTCTGAGAATGTTTCTGTCTAGTGGTTATGGGAAGATATTTGCTTTTTCACCGTAGGCCTCAGAGCGCTCCAAATATCCACTTGCACATACTACAAAAAGAGTGCTTCAAAGCTGCTCTCTGAAACGGAATGTTCAACTCTATGAGTTGAATGCAAACATCACAAAGACGTTACCGCGAATGCTTCTGTCTAGATTTGATATGAAGATATTCCCGTTTCCAACGAAATCTTCAAATCTATCCAAATGTCCACTTGCAGATTCAACAAAAAGTGTTTTTCAGAACTGCTCTATCAAAAGAAAGATCCACCTCTGTTAGCTGAGTTCACACATCACAAACAGGTTTATGAGAATGCTTCTGTCTAGTTTTTATTTGAAGATATTTCCTTTCTCACCATAGACCTGAAAGCTGTCCTAATGTTCACTTCCAGATACTACAGAAAGAGTGTTTCAAAGCTGCTGTACGAAAGGGAATGTTCAAATCTGTGACTTGAATGCACACATCACAAAGAAGTTTCTGAGGATGCTGCTGTCTACTTTTTATACGTAATCCCGTTTCCAACGAAATCCTCTAATCTATCCAAATATCCACTTGCGGATTCCACAGAAAGACTGTTTCAAAACTGCTCTGTCAATAGAAAGGTTCAACTCTGTTAGCTGCGTGCATATATCCCAAAGAAGATTCTGAGATTGCTTCTGTCTAGTTTTTATGGGAAGATATTTCCCTTTTCACCGTAGGCGTCAAGGCGCTCCAAATGTCCACTTCCAGATGCCTCAAAAAGAGTGTTTCAAACCTAATCTGTGAAAGGGAATATTCAACTCTGTAACTTGAATGCACATATCACAAAGAAGTTTCTGAGAATGCTTCTGTCGAGATTTTATATGAAGATATTCCCGTTTCCAACGGAATCCTGAAATCTATCGAAATATCCCCTCGCAGATTCTACAAAAAGAGTGTTTCAAAACTGCTCTGTAAAAAGAAAGTTTCAACTCTGTTAGTTGAGTACACACATCACAAACAAGTTTCACAGAATGCTTCTTTCTAGCTTGTAGGGGAATATATTCCCTTTATCACCATGGGTCTCAAACCGTCCGAAACGTCCACTTCCATATACTACAAAAAGAGCATTTCAAACCTGCTCTATGAAAGGCAATGTTCAACTCTGTGACTTGAATGCAGACATCACAGAGCAGTTTCTGAGAATGCTTCTCTCTAGATTTTATAGGAAGATATTCCCGTTTCCAACGAAATCTTCACAGCTATCCAAATATCCACTTGCAGATTCTACAAAAAGAGTGTATCAAAACTGCTCTGTCAAAAGGAAGGTTCTTCTCTGTTAGGTGAGTGCATACGTTATAAAGGAGTTTCTGAGAATGTTTCTGTCTAGTGGTTATGGGAAGATATTTGCTTTTTCACCCTAGGCCTCAGAGTGCTCCAAATATCCACTTGCACATACTACAAAAAGAGTGCTTCAAAGCTGCTCTCTGAAACGGAATGTTCAACTCTATGTGTTGAATGCAAACATCACAAAGACGTTTCCGAGAATGCTTCTGTCTAGATTTGATATGAAGATATTCCCGTTTCCAACGAAATCTTCAAATCTATCCAAATGTCCACTTGCAGATTAAACAAAAAGTGTTTTTCAGAACTGCTCTATCAAAAGAAAGATCCACCTCTGTTAGCTGAGTTCACACATCACAAACAAGTTTATGAGAATGCTTCTGTCTAGTTTTTATTTGAAGATATTTCCTTTCTCACCATAGAGCTGAAAGCTGTCCTAATGTTCACTTCCAGATACTACAGAAAGAGTGTTTCAAAACTGCTGTACGAAAGGGAATGTTCAACACTGTGACTTGAATGCACACATCACAAAGAAGTTTCTGAGGATGCTGCAGTCTACTTTTTATACGTAATCCCGTTTCCAACGAAATCCTCCAATCTATCCAAATATCCACTTGCAGATTCCACAGAAAGACTGTTTCAAAACTGCTCTGTCAATAGAAAGGTTCAACTCTGTTAGCTGCGTGCATATATCCCAAAGAAGATTCTAAGATTGCTTCTGTCTAGTTTTTATGGGAAGATATTCCCTTTTCACCGTAGGCGTCAAGGCGCTCCAAATGTCCACTTCCAGATACTACAAAAAGAGTGTTTCAAACCTACTCTGTGAAAGGGAATATTCAACTCTGTGACTTGAATGCACATATCACAAAGAAGTTTCTGAGAATGCTTCTGTCGAGATTTTATATGAAGATATTCCCGTTTCCAAAGAAATCCTGAAATCTATCCAAATATCCCCTCGCAGATTCTACAAAAAGAGTGTTTCAAAACTGCTCTGTGAAAAGAAAGGTTCAACTCTGTTAGTTGAGTACACACATCACAAACAAGTTTCACAGAATGCTTCTTTCTAGCTTGTAGGGGAAGATATTCCCTTTATCACCCTGGGCCTCCAACCGTCCGAAACGTCCACTTCCATATACTACAAAAAGAGCGTTTCAAACCTGCTCTAGGAAAGGCAATGTTCAACTCTGTGACTTCAATGCAGACATCACAGAGCAGTTTCTGAGAATGCTTCTGTCTAGATTTTATAGGAAGATATTCCCGTTTCCAACGAAATATTCACAGCTATCCAGATATCCACTTGCAGATTCTACAAAAAGAGTGCATCAAAACTGCTCTGTCAAAAGGAAGGTTCTTCTCTGTTAGGTGAGTGCATACGTCATAAAGGAGTTTCTGAGAATGTTTCTGTCTAGTGGTTATGGAAAGATATTTGCTTTTTCACCGTAGGCCTCAGAGCGCTCCAAATATCCACTTGCACATACTACAAAAAGAGTGCCTCAAAGCTGCTTTCTGAAACGGAATGTTCAACTCTATGAGTTGAATGCAAACAACGCAAAGACGTTTCTGAGAATGCTTCTGTCTAGATTTGATATGAAGATATTCCCGTTTCCAACGAAATCTTCAAATCTATCCAAATGTCCACTTGCAGATTCAACAAAAAGTGTTTTTCAGAACTGCTCTATCAAAAGAAAGATCCACCTCTGTTAGCTGAGTTCACACATCACAAAAAGGTTTATGAGAATGCTTCTGTCTAGTTTTTATTTGAAGATATTCCCTTTCTCAACATAGACCTGAAAGCTGTCCTAATGTTCACTTCCAGATACTACAGAAAGAGCGTTTCAAAACTGCTGTACGAAAGGGAATGTTCAACTCTGTGACTTGAATGCACACATCACAAAGAAGTTTCTGAGGATGCTGCTGTCTACTTTTTATACGTAATCCCGTTTCCAACGAAATACTCCAAGCTATCCAAATATCCACTTGGAGATTCCACAGAAAGACTGTTTCAAAACTACTCTGTCAATAGAAAGGTTCAACTCTGTTAGCTGCGTGCATATATCCCAAAGAAGATTCTGAGATTGCTTCTGTCTAGTTTTTATGGAAAGATATTTCCCTTTTCACCGTAGGTGTCAAGGCGCTCCAAATGTCCACTTCCAGATACTACAAAAAGAGTGTTTCAAACCTACTCTGTGAAAGGGAATATTCAACTCTGTGACTTGAATGCAGATATCACAAAGAAGTTTCTGAGAATGCTTCTGTCGAGATTTTATATGAAGATATTCCCGTTTCCAACGAAATGCTGAAATGTATCCAAATATCCCCTCGCAGATTCTACAAAAAGAGTGTTTCAAAACTGTTCTGTAAAAAGAAAGGTTCAACTCTGTTAGTTGAGTACACACATCACAAACAAGTTTCACAGAATGCTTCTTTCTAGCTTGTAGGGGAAGATATTCTCTTTATCACCATGGGCCTCCAACCGTCCGAAACATCCACTTCCATATACTACAAAAAGAGCGTTTCAAACCTGCTCTATGAAAGGCAATGTTCAACTCTGTGACTTGAAAGCAGACATCACAGAGCAGTTTCTGAGAATGCTTCTGTCTAGATTTTATAGGAAGATATTCCCGTTTCCAACGGAATCTTCACAGCTATCCAAATATCCACTTGCAGATTCTACAAAAAGTGTGTATCAAAACTGCTCTGTCAAAAGGAAGGTTCTTTTCTGTTAGGTGAGTGCATACGTCATAAAGGAGTTTCTGAGAATGTTTCTGTCTAGTGGTTATGGGAAGATATTTGCTTTTTCACCGTAGGCCTCAGAGCGCTCCAAATATCCACTTGCACATACTACAAAAAGAGTGCCTCAAAGCTGCTCTCTGAAACGGAATGTTCAACTCTATGAGTTGAATGCAAACATCACAAAGACGTTTCTGACAATGCTTCTGTCTAGATTTGATATGAAGGTATTCCCGTTTGCAACGAAATCTTCAAATCTATCCAAATGTCCACTTGCAGATTCAACAAAAAGTGTTTTTCAGAACTGCTCTATCAAAAGAAAGATCCACCTCTGTTAGCTGAGTTCACACATCACAAACAAGTTTATGAGAATGCTTCTGTCTAGTTTTTATTTGAAGATATTTCCTTTCTCACCATAGTACCTGAAAGCTGTCCTAATGTTCAATTCCAGATACTACAGAAAGAGTGTTTCAAAACTACTGTACGAAAGGGAATGTTCAACTCTGTGACTTGAATGCACACATCACAAAGAAGTTTCTGAGGATGCTGCTGTCTACTTTTTATACGTAATCCCGTTTCCAACGAAATCCTCCAAGCTATCCAAATATTCACTTGCAGATTCCACAGAAAGACTGTTTCAAAACTGCTCTGTCAATAGAAAGGTTCAACTCTGTTAGCTGCGTGCATATATCCCAAAGAAGTTTCTGAGATTACTTTCTGTCTAGTTTTTATGGGAAGATATTTCCCTTTTCACCGTAGGTGTCAAGGCGCTCCAAATGTCCACTTCCAGATACTACAAAAAGAGTGTTTCAAGCCTACTCTGTGAAAGGGAATATTCAACTCTGTGACTTGAATGCACATATCACAAAGAAGTTTCTGAGAATGCTTCTGTCGAGTATTTTATATGAAGATATTCCCGTTTCCAACGAAATCCTGAAATCTATCCAAATATCCCCTCGCAGATTCTACAAAAAGAGTGTTTCAAAACTGCTCTGTAAAAAGAAAGGTTCAACTCTGTTAGTTGAGTACACACATCACAAACAAGTTTCACAGAATGCTTCTTTCTAGCTTGTAGGGGAAGATATTCCCATTATCACCATGGGCCTCAAACCGTCCGAAACGTCTACTTCCATATACTACAAAAAGAGCGTTTCAAACCTGCTCTATGAAAGGCAATGTTCAACTCTGTGACTTGAATGCAGACGTCACAGAGCAGTTTCTGAGAATGCTTCTGTCCAGACTTTATAGGAAGATATTCCCGTATCCAACGAAATCTTCACAGCTATCCAAATATCCACTTGCAGATAGTACAAAAAGAGTGTATCAAAAATGCTCTGTCAAAAGGAAAGTTCTTCTCTGCTAGTTGAGTACATACGTCATAAAGAAGTTTCTGAGAATGTTTCTGTCTAGTGGTTATGGGAAGATATTTGCTTTTTCACCGTAGGCCTCAGAGCGCTCCAAATATCCACTTGCACATACTACAAAAAGAGTGCCTCAAAGCTGCTCTCTGAAACGGAATGTTTAACTCTATGAGTTGAATGCAAACATCGCAAAGACGTTTCTGAGAATGCTTCTGTCTAGATTTGATATGAAGATATTCCCGTTTCCAAAGAAATCTTCAAATCTATCCAAATGTCCACTTGCAGATTCAACAAAAAGTGTTTTTCAGAACTGCTCTATCAAAAGAAAGATCCACCTCTGTTAGCTGAGTTCACACATCACAAACAAGCTTATGAGAATGCTTCTGTCTAGTTTTTATTTGAAGATATTTCCTTTCTCACCATAGACATGAAAGCTGTCCTAATGTTCACTTCCAGATACTACAGAAAGAGCATTTCAAAACTGCTGTACGAAAGAGAATGTTCAACTCTGTGACTTGAATGCACACATCACAAAGAAGTTTCTGAGGATGCTGCTGTCTACTTTTTATACGTAATCCCGTTTCCAACGAAATCCTCCAATCTATCCAAATATCCACTTGCAGATTCCACAGAAAGACTGTTTCAAAACTGGTCTGTCAATAGAAAGGTTCAACTCTGTTAGCTGCGTGCATATATCCCAAAGGAGATTCTGAGATTGCTTCTGTCTAGTATTTATGGGAAGATATTTCCCTTTTCACCGTAGGTGTCAAGGCGCTCCAAATGTCCACTTCCAGATACTACAAAAAGAGTGTTTCAAACCTACTCTGTGAAAGGGAATATTCAACTCTGTGACTTGAATGCACATATCACAAAGAAGTTTCTGAGAATGCTTCTGTCGAGATTTTATATGAAGATATTCCCGTTTCCAACGAAATCCTGAAATCTATCCAAATATCCCCTCGCAGATTCTACAAAAAGAGTGTTTCAAAACTGCTCTGTAAAAAGAAAGGTTCAACTCTGTTAGTTGAGTACACACATCACAAACAAGTTTCACAGAGTGCTTCTTTCTAGCTTGTAGGGGAAGATATTCCCTTTATCACCATGGGCCTCAAACCGTCCGAAACGTCCACTTCCATATACTACAAAAAGAGCGTTTCAAACCTGCTCTATGAAAGGCAATGTTCAACTCTAGTGACTTGAATGCAGACATCACAGAGCAGTTTCTGAGAATGCTTCTGTCTAGATTTTATAGGAAGATATTCCAGTTTCCAACGAAATCTTCACAGCTATCCAAATATCCACTTGCAGATTCTACAAAAAGAGTGTATCAAAACTGCTCTATCAAAAGGAAGGTTCTTCTCTGTTAGTTGAGTACATACGTCATAAAGGAGTTTCTGAGAATGTTTCTGTCTAGTGGTTATGGGAAGATATTTGCTTTTTCACCTTAGGCCTCAGAGCGCTCCAAATATCCCCTTGCACATACTACAAAAAGAGTGCTTCAAAGCTGCTCTCTGAAAGGGAATTTTCAACTCTATGAGTTGAATGCAAACATCACAAAGACGTTTCTGAGAATGCTTCTATCTAGATTTGATATGAAGATATTCCCGTTTCCAACGAAATCTTCAAATCTATCCAAATGTCCACTTGCAGATTCAACAAAAAGTGTTTTTCAGAACTGCTCTATCAAAAGAAAGATCCACCTCTGTTAGCTGAGTTCACACATCACAAACAAGTTTATGAGAATGCTTCTGTCTAGTTTTTATTTGAAGATATTTCCTTTCTCACCATAGACCTGAATGCTGTCCTAATGTTCACTTCCAGATACTACAGAAAGAGTGTTTCAAAACTGCTGTACGAAAGGGAATGTTCAACTCTGTGACTTGAATGCACACATCACAAAGAAGTTTCTGAGGATGCTGCTGTCTACTTTTTATACGTAATCCCGTTTCCAACGAAATCCTCCAAGCTATCCAAATATCCACTTGCAGATTCCACAGAAAGACTGTTTCAAAACTGCTCTGTCAATAGAAAGGTTCAACTCTGTTAGCTGCGTACATATATCCCAAAGAAGATTCTGAGATTGCTTCTGTCTACTTTTTATGAGAAGATATTTCCCTTTTCACCGTAGGTGTCAAGGTGCTCCAAATGTCCACTTCCAGATACTAGAAAAAGAGTGTTTCAAACCTACTCTGTGAAAGGGAATATTCAACTCTGTGACTTGAATGCACATATCACAAAGAAGTTTCTGAGAATGCTTCTGTCGAGATTTTATATGAAGATATTCCCGTTTCCAACGAAATGCTGAAATGTATCCAAATATCCCCTCGCAGATTCTACAAAAAGAGTGTTTCAAAACTGCTCTGTAAAAACAAAGGTTCAACTCTGTTAGTTGAGTACACACATCACAAACAAGTTTCACAGAATGCTTCTTTCTAGCTTGTAGGGGAAGATATTCCCTTTATCACCAAGGGCCTCAAACCGTCCGAAACGTCCACTTCCATATACTACAAAAAGAGCGTTTCAAACCTGCTCTAGGAAAGGCAATGTTCAACTCTGTGACTTGAATGCAGACATCACAGAGCAGTTTCTGAGAATGCTTCTGTATAGATTTTATAGGAAGATATTCCCGTTTCCAACGAAATCTTCACAGCTATCCAAATATCCACTTGCAGATTCTACAAAAAGAGTGTATCAAAACTGCTCTGTCAAAAGGAAGGTTCTTCTCTGTTAGGTGAGTGCATACGTCATAAGGGAGTTTCTGAGAATGTTTCTGTCTAGTGGTTATGGGAAGATATTTGCTTTTTCACCGTAGGCCACAGAGCGATCAAAATATCCACTTGCACATACTACAAAAAGAGTGCTTCAAAGCTGCTCTCTGAAAGTGAATGTTCAACTCTATGAGTTGAATGCAAACATCACAAAGACGTTTCCTGAGAATGCTTCTGTCTAGATTTGATATGAAGATATTCCCGTTTCCAACGAAATCTTCAAATCTATCCAAATGTCCACTTGCAGATTCAACAAAACGTGTTTTTCAGAACTGCTCAATCAAAAGAAAGATCCACCTGTGTTAGCTGAGTTCACACATCACAAACAAGTTTATGAGAATGCTTCTGTCTAGTTTTTATGGGAAGATATTTCCCTTTTCACCGTAGGTGTCAAGGCGCTCCAAATGTCCACTTCCAGATAGTACAAAAAGAGTGTTTCAAACCAACTCTGTGAAAGGGAATATTCAACTCTGTGACTTGAATGCACACATCACAAAGAAGTTTCTGAGGATGCTGCTGTCTACTTTTTATACGTAATCCCGTTTCCAACGAAATCCTCCAAGCTATCCAAATATCCACTTGCAGATTCCACAGAAAGACTGTTTCAAAACTGCTCTGTCAATAGAAAGGTTCAACTCTGTTAGCTGCATGCATATATCCCAAAGAAGATGCTGAGATTGCTTCTGTCTAGTTTTTATGGGAAGATATTTCCCTTTTCACCGTAGGCGTCAAGGCGCTCCAAATGTCCACTTCCAGATACTACAAAAAGAGTGTTTCAAACCTACTCTATGAAAGGGAATATTCAACTCTGTGACTTGAATGCACATATCACAAAGAAGTTTCTGAGAATGCTTCTGTCGAGTATTTTATATGAAGATATTCCCGTTTCCAACGAAATCCTGAAATGTATCCAAATATCCCCTTGCAGATTCTACAAAAAGAGTGTTTCAAAACTGCTCTGTAAAAAGAAAGGTTCAACTCTGTTAGTTGAGTACACACATCACAAACAAGTTTCACACAATGCTTCTTTCTAGCTTGTAGGGGAAGATATTCCCTTTATCACCATGGGCCTCAAACCGTCCGAAACGTCCACTTCCATATACTACCAAAAGAGCGTTTCAAACCTGCTCTAGGAAAGGCAATGTTCAACTCTGTGACTTGAATGCGGACATCAGAGAGCAGTTTCTGAGAATGCTTCTGTCTAGATTTTATAGGAAGATATTCCCGTTTCCAACGAAATCTTCACAGCTATCCAAATATCCACTTGCAGATTCTACAAAAAGAGTGTATCAAAACTGCTCTGTCAAAAGGAAGGTTCTTCTCTGTTAGGTGAGTGCATACGTCATAAAGGAGTTTCTGAGAATGGTTCTGTCTAGTGGTTATGGGAAGATATTTGCTTTTTCACCGTAGGCCTCAGAGCGCTCCAAATATCCACTTGCACATACTACAAAAAGAGTGCTTCACAGCTGCTCTCTGAAAGGGAATGTTCAACTCTATGAGTTGAATGCAAACATCACAAAGACGTTTCTGAGAATGCTTCTGTCTAGATTTTATATGAAGATATTCCCGTTTCCAAAGAAATCTTCAAATCTATCCAAATATCCACTTGGAGATTCTACAAAAAGTGTTTTTCAAAATTGCTGTATCAAAAGAAAGATCCACCTTTGTTTGTTGAGTTCACACAACACAAACAAGTTTGTGAGAATGCTTCTGTCTTGTTTTTATTTGAAGATATTTCCTTTCTCACCATAGTCCTGAAAGCTCTCGAAATGTTCACTTCCAGGTACTACAAAAAGAGTGTTTCAAACTTTCTATGTGAAAGGGAATATTGAACTCTGTGACTTCAATGCAGATATCACAAAATCTTTCTGAGAATTCTGCTGTCTACTTTTTATACGTAATCCCGTTTCCAACGAAATCCTCCAAGCTATCCAAATATCCACTTGCAGATTCCACAGAAAGACTGTTTCAAAACTGCTCTGTCAATAGAAAGGTTCAACTCTGTTAGCTGCGTGCATATATCCCAAAGAGGATTCTGAGATTGCTTCTGTCTAGTTTTTATGGGAAGATATTTCCCTTTTCACCGTAGGCGTCAAGGCGCTCCAAATGTCCACTTCCAGATACTACAAAAAGAGTGTTTCAAACCTACTCTGTGAAAGGGAATATTCACCTCTGTGACTTGAATGCACATATCACAAAGAAGTTTCTGAGAATGCTTCTGTCGAGATTTTATATGAAGATATTCCCGTTTCCAACGAAATCCTGAAATCTATCCAAATATCCTCTCGCAGATTCTACAAAAAGAGTGTTTCAAAACTGCTCTGTAAAAAGAAAGGTTCAACTCTGTTAGTTGAGTACACACATCACAAACAACTTTCACAGAATGCTTCTTTCTAGCTTGTAGGGGAAGATATTCCCTTTATCACCATGGGCCTCCAACCGTCCGAAACGTCCACTTCCATATACTACAAAAAGAGAGTTTCAAACCTGCTCTATGAAAGGCAATGTTCAACTCTGTGACTTGAATGCAGACATCACAGAGCAGTTTCTGAGAATGCTTCTGTCCAGACTTTATAGGAAGATATTCCCGATTCCAACGAAATCTTCACAGCTATCCAAATATCCACTTGCAGATACTACAAAAAGAGTGTATCAAAAGTGCTCTGTCAAAAGGAAAGTTCTTCTCTGCTAGTTGAGTACATACGTCATAAAGAAGTTTCTGAGAATGTTTCTGTCTAGTGGTTATGGGAAGATATTTGCTTTTCCCCGTAGGCCTCAGAGCGCTCCAAATATCCACTTGCACATACTACAAAAAGAGTGCTTCAAAGCTGCTCTCTGAAAGGGAATGTTCAACTCTATGAGTTGAATGCAAACATCACAAAGACGTTTCTGAGAATGCTTCTGTGTAGATTTGATATGAAGATATTCCCGTTTCCAACGAAATCTTCAAATCTATCCAAATGTCCACTTGCAGATTCAACAAAAAGTGTTTTTCAGAACTGCTCTATCAAAAGAAAGATCCACCTCTGTTAGCTGAGTTCACACATCACAAACAAGTTTATGAGAATGCTTCTGTCTAGTTTTTATTTGAAGATATTTCCTTTCTCACCATAGACCTGAAAGCTGTCCTAATGTTCACTTCCAGATACTACAGGAAGAGTGTTTCAAAACTGCTGTACGAAAGGGAATGTTCAACTCTGTGACTTGAATGCACACATCACAAAGAAGTTTCTGAGGATGCTGCTGTCTACTTTTTATACGTAATCCCGTTTCCAACGAAATCCTCCAAGCTATCCAAATATCCACTTGCAGATTCCACAGAAAGACTGTTTCAAAACTACTCTGTCCATAGAAAGGTTCAACTCTGTTAGCTGCGTGCATATATCCCAAAGAAGATTCTGAGATTGCTTCTGTCTACTTTTTATGAGAAGATATTTCCCTTTTCACCGTAGGCGTCAAGGCGCTCCAAATGTCCACTTCCAGATACTACAAAAAGAGTGTTTCAAACCTACTCTGTGAAAGGGAATATTGAACTCTGTGACTTGAATGCACATATCACAAAGAAGTTTCTGAGAATGCTTCTGTCGAGATTTTATATGAAGATATTCCCGTTTCCCACGAAATCCTGAAATCTATCCAAATATCCCATCGCAGATTCTACAAAAAGAGTGTTTCAAAACTGCCCTGTGAAAAGAAAGGTTCAACTCTGTTAGTTGAGTACACACATCACAAACAAGTTTCACAGAATGCTTCTTTCTCGCTTCTAGGGGAAGATATTTCCTTTATCACCATGGGCCTCAAACCGTTCGAAACATCCACTTCCATATACTACAAAAAGAGCGTTTCAAACCTGCTCTATGAAAGGCAATGTTCAACTCTGTGACTTGAATGCAGACATCACAAAGCAGTTTCTGAGAATGCTTCTGTCTAGATTTTATAGGAAGATATTCCCGTTTCCAACGAAATCTTCACAGATATCCAAATATCCACTTGCAGATGCTACAAAAAGAGTGTATCAAAAATGCTCTGTCAAAAGGAAGGTTCTTCTCTGTTAGGTGAGTGCATACGTCATAAAGGAGTTTCTGAGAATGTTTCTGTCTAGTGGTTATGGGAAGATATTTGCTTTTTCACCTTAGGCCTCAGAGCGCTCCAAATATCCCCTTGCACATACTACAAAAAGAGTGCTTCAAAGCTGCTCTCTGAAAGGGAATGTTCAACTCTATGAGTTGAATGCAAACATCACAAAGACGTTTCCTGAGAATGCTTCTGTCTAGATTTGCTATGAAGATATTCCCGTTTCCAACGAAATCTTCAAATCTATCCAAATGTCCACTTGCAGATTCAACAAAAAGTGTTTTTCAGAACTGCTCTATCAAAAGAAAGATCCACCTCTGTTAGCTGAGTTCAGACATCACAAACAAGTTTATGAGAATGCTTCTGTCTAGTTTTTATTTGAAGATATTTCCTTTCTCAACATAGACCTGAAAGCTGTCCTAATGTTCACTTCCAGATACTACAGAAAGAGCGTTTCAAAACTGCTGTACGAAAGGGAATGTTCAACTCTGTGACTTGAATGCACACATCACAAAGAAGTTTCTGAGGATGCTGCTGTCTACTTTTTATACGTAATCCCGTTTCCAACGAAATCCTCCAAGCTATCCAAATATCCACTTGCAGATTCCACAGAAAGACTGTTTCAAAACTGCTCTGTCAATAGAAAGGTTCAACTCTGTTAGCTGCGTGCATATATCTCAAAGAAGATTCTGAGATTGCTTCTGTCTAGTTTTTATGGGAAGATATTTCCCTTTTCACCGTAGGCGTCAAGGCGCTCCAAATGTCCACTTCCAGATACCACAAAAAGAGTGTTTCAAACCTACTCTGTGGAAGGGAATATTCAACTCTGTGACTTGAATGCAGATATCACAAAGAAGTTTCTGAGAATGCTTCTGTCGAGATTTTATATGAAGATATTCCCGGTTTCCAACGAAATCCTGAAATGTATCCAAATATCCCCTCGCAGATTCTACAAAAAGAGTGTTTCAAAACTGCTCTGTAAAAAGAAAGGTTCAACTCTGTTAGTTGAGTACACACATCACAAACAAGTTTCACACAATGCTTCTTTCTAGCTTGTAGGGGAAGATATTCCCTTTATCACCATGGGCCTCCAACCGTCCGAAAAGTCCACTTCCATATACTACAAAAAGAGCGTTTCAAACCTGCTCTATGAAAGGCAATGTTCAACTCTGTGACTTGAATGCAGACATCACAGAGCAGTTTCTGAGAATGCTTCTGTCTAGATTTTATAGGAAGATATTCCCGTTTCCAACGAAATCTTCACAGCTATCCAAATATCCACTTGTAGATTCTACAAAAAGAGTGTATCAAAACTGCTCTGTCAAAAGGAAGGTTCTTTTCTGTTAGGTGAGTGCATACGTCATAAAGGAGTTTCTGAGAATGTTTCTGTTAGTGGTTATGGGAAGATATTTGCTTTTTCACCGTAGGCCTCAGAGCGCTCCAAATATCCACTTGCACATACTACAAAAAGAGTGCTTCAAAGCTGCTCTCTGAAACGGAATGTTCAACTCTATGAGTTGAATGCAAACATCGCAAAGACGTTTCTGAGAATGCTTCTGTCTAGATTTGATATGAAGATATTCCCGTTTCCAACGAAATCTTCAAATCTATCCAAATGTCCACTTGCAGATTCAACAAAAAGTGTTTTTCAGAACTGCTCTATCAAAAGAAAGATCCACCTCTGTTAGCTGAGTTCACACATCCAAACAAGTTTATGAGAATGCTTCTGTCTAGTTTTTATTTGAAGATATTTCCTTTCTCACCATAGAGCTGAAAGCTGTCCTAATGTTCACTTCCAGATACTACAGAAAGAGTGTTTCAAAACTGCTGTACGAAAGGGAAATGTTCAACTCTGTGACTTGAATGCACACATCACAAAGAAGTTTCTGAGGATGCTGCTGTCTACTTTTTATACGTAATCCCGTTTCCAAGGAAATCCTCCAAGCTATCCAAATATCCACTTGCAGATTCCACAGAAAGACTGTTTCAAAACTGCTCTGTCAATAGAAAGGTTCAACTCTGTTAGTTGCGTGCATATATCCCAAGGTAAGATTCTGAGATTGCTTCTGTCTTGTTTTTATGGGAAGATATTTCCCTTTTCACCGTAGGTGTCAAGGCGCTCCAAATGTCCACTTCCAGATACTACAGAAAGAGTGTTTCAAACCTACTCTGTGAAAGGGAATATTCAACTCTGTGACTTGAAGGCAGATATCACAAAGAAGTTTCTGAGAATGCTTCTGTCGAGATTTTATATGAAGATATTCCCCTTTCCAACGAAATCCTGAAATCTATCCAAATATCCCCTCGCAGATTCTACAAAAAGAGTGTTTCAAAACTGCTCTGTAAAAAGAAAGGTTCAACTCTGTTAGTTGAGTACACACATCACAAACAAGTTTCAGAGAATGCTTCTTTCTAGCTTGTAGGGGAAGATATTCCCTTTATCACTATGGGCCTCAAACCATCCGAAACGTCCACTTCCATATACTACAAAAAGAGCGTTTCAAACCTGCTCTAGGAAAGGCAGTGTTCAACTCTGTGACTTGAATGCAGACATCACAGAGCAGTTTCTGAGAATGCTTCTGTCTAGATTTTATAGGAAGATATTCCCGTTTCCAACGAAATCTTCACAGCTATCCAAATATCCACTTGCAGATTCTGCAAAAAGAGTGTATCAAAACTGCTCAGTCAAAAGGAAGGTTCTTCTCTGTTAGGTGAGTGCATACGTCATAAAGGAGTTTCTGAGAATGTTCCTGTCTAGTGGTTATGGGAAGATATTTGCTTTTTCCCTGTAGGCCTCAAAGCGCTCCAAATGTCCACTTGCACATACTACAAAAAGAGTGCTTCAAAGCTGCTCTCTGAAAGGGAATGTTCAACTCTATGAGTTGAATGCTAACATCACAAAGACGTTTCTGAGAATGCTTCTGTCTAGATTTAATATGAAGATATTCCCGTTTCCAACGAAATCTTCAAATCTATCCAAATGTCCACTTGCAGATTCAACAAAAAGTGTTTTTCAGAACTGCTCTATCAAAAGAAAGATCCACCTCTGTTAGCTGAGTTCACACATCACAAACAAGTTTATGAGAATGCTTCTGTCTAGTTTTTATTTGAAGATATTTCCTTTCTCACCATAGACCTGAAAGCTGTCCTAATGTTCACTTCCAGATACTACAGAAAGAGTGTTTCAAAACTACTGTACGAAAGGGAATGTTCAACTCTGTGACTTGAATGCACACATCACAAAGAAGTTTCTGAGGATGCTGCTGTCTACTTTTTATACGTAATCCCGTTTCCAACGAAATCCTCCAAGCTATCCAAATATCCACTTGCAGATTCCACAGAAAGACTGTTTCAAAACTGCTCTGTCAATAGAAAGGTTCAACTCTGTTAGCTGCGTGCATATATCCCAAAGTAGATTCTGAGATTGCTTCTGTCTAGTTTTTATGGGAAGATATTTCCCTTTTCACCGTAGGTGTCAAGGCCCTCCAAATGTCCACTTCCAGATACTACAAAAAGAGTGTTTCAAACCTACTCTGTGAAAGGGAATATTCAACTCTGTGACTTGAATGCACATATCACAAAGAAGTTTCTGAGAATGCTTCTGTCGAGATTTTATATGAAGATATTCCCGTTTCCAACGAAATCCAGGAATGTATCCAAATATCCCCTCGCAGATTCTACAAAAAGAGTGTTTCAAAACTGCTCTGTAAAAAGAAAGGTTCAACTCTGTTAGTTGAGTGCACACATCACAAACAAGTTTCACAGAATGCTTCTTTCTAGCTTGTAGGGGAAGATATTCCCTTTATCACCATGGGCCTCAAACCGTCCGAAACGTCCACTTCCATATACTACAAAAAGAGCGTTTCAAACCTGCTCTATGAAAGGCAATGTTCAACTCTGTGACTTGAATACAGACGTCGCAGAGCAGTTCCTGAGAATGCTTCTGTCTAGATTTTATAGGAAGATATTCCCGTTTCCAACGAAATCTTCACAGGTATCCAAATATCCACTTGCAGATTCTACAAAAAGAGTGTATCAAAACTGCTCTGTCAAAAGGAAGGTTCTTCTGTGTTACGTGAGTGCATACGTCATAAAGGAGTTTCTGAGAATGTTTCTGTCTAGTGGTTATGGGAAGATATTTGCTTTTTCACCGTAGGCCTCAGAGCGCTCCAAATATCCACTTGCACATACTACAAAAAGAGTGCTTCAAAGCTGTTCTCTGTAACGGAATGTTCAACTCTATGAGTTGAATGCAAACATCACAAAGACGTTTCTGAGAATGCTTCTGTCTAGACTTGATATGAAGATATTCCCGTTTCCTACGAAATCTTCAAATCTATCCAAATGTCCACTTGCAGATTCAACAAAAAGTGTTTTTCAGAACTTCTCTATCAAAAGAAAGATCCACCTCTGTTAGCTGAGTTCACACATCACAAACAAGTTTATGAGAATGCTTCTGTCTAGTTTTTATTTGAAGATATTTCCTTTCTCACCATAGACCTGAAAGCTGTCCTAATGTTCACTTCCAGATACTACAGAAAGAGTGTTTCAAAACTGCTGTACGAAAGGGAATGTTCAACACTGTGACTTGAATGCACACATCACAAAGAAGTTTACTGAGGATGCTGCTGTCTACTTATTATACGTAATCCCGTTTCCAACGAAATCCTCCAAGCTATCCAAATATCCACTTGCAGATTCCACAGAAAGGCTGTTTCAAAACTGCTCTGTCAATAGAAAGGTTCAACTCTGTTAGCTGCGTGCATATATCCCAAAGAAGATTCTGAGATTGCTTCTGTCTAGTTTTTATGGGAAGATATTTCCCTTTTCACCGTAGGTGTCAAGGTGCTCAAAATGTCCACTTCCAGATACTACAAGAAGAGTGTTTCAAACCTACTCTGTGAAAGGCAATATTCAACTCTGTGACTTGAATGCAGATATCACAAAGAAGTTTCTGAGAATGCTTCTGTCGAGTATTTTATATGAAGATATTCCCGTTTCCAACGAAATCCTGTAATCTATCCAAATATCCCCTCGCAGATTCTACAAAAAGAGTGTTTCAAAACTGCTCTGTAAAAAGAAAGGTTCAACTCTGTTAGTTGAGTACACACCTCACAAACAAGTTTCACAGAATGCTTCTTTCTAGCTTGTAGGGGAAGATATTCCCTTTATCACCATGGGCCTCAAACCGTCCGAAACGTCCACTTCCATATACTACAAAAAGAGCGTTTCAAACCTGCTCTAGGAAAGGCAATGTTCAACTCTGTGACTTGAATGCAGACATCACAGAGCAGTTTTCTGAGAATGCTTCTGTCTAGATTTTATAGGAAGATATTCCCGTTTCCAACGAAATCTTCACAGCTATCCAAATATCCACTTGCAGATTCTACAAAAAGAGTGTACCAAAACTGCTCTGTCAAAAGGAAGGTTCTTCTCTGTTAGGTGAGTGCATACGTCATAAAGGAGTTTCTGAGAATGTTTCTGTTAGTGGTTATGGGAAGATATTTGCTTTTTCACTGTAGGCCTCAGAGCGCTCCAAATATCCACTTGCACATACTACAAAAAGAGTGCCTCAAAGCTGCTCTCTGAAACGGAATGTTCAACTCTATGAGTTGAATGCAAACATCGCAAAGACGTTTCTGAGAATGCTTCTGTCTAGATTTGATATGACGATATTCCCGTTTCCAACGAAATCTTCAAATCTATCCAAATGTCCACTTGCAGATTTAACAAAACGTGTTTTTCAGAACTGCTCTATCAAAAGAAAGATCCACCTCTGTTAGCTGAGTTCACACATCACAAACAAGTTTATGAGAATGCTTCTGTCTACTTTTTATTTGAAGATATTTCCTTTCTCACCATAGACCTGAAAGCTGTCCTAATGTTCACTTCCAGATACTACAGAAAGAGTGTTTCAAAACTGCTGTACGAAAGGGAATGTTCAACTCTGTGACTTGAATGCACACATCACAAGGAAGTTTCTCAGGATGCTGCTGTCTACTTTTTATACGTAATCCCGTTTCCAACGAAATCCTCCAAGCTATCCAAATATCCACTTGCAGATTCCACAGAAAGACTGTTTCAAAACTGCTATGTCAATAGAAAAGTTCAACTCTGTTGGCTGTGTGCATATATCCCAAAGAAAATTCTGAGATTGCTTCTGTCTAGTTTTTATGGGAAGATATTTCCCTTTTCACCGTAGGCGTCAAGGCGCTCCAAATGTCCACTTCCAGATACTACAAAAAGAGTGTTTCAAACCTACTCTGTGAAAGGGAATATTCAACTCGTGTGACTAGAATGCACGTATCACAAAGAAGTTTCTGAGAATGCTTCTGTCGAGATTTTATATGAAGATATTCCCGTTTCCAACGAAATCCTGAAATCTATCCAAATATCCCCTCGCAGATTCTACAAAAAGAGTGTTTCAAAACTGCTCTGTAAAAAGAAAGGTTCAACTCTGTTATTGAGTACACACATCACAAACAAGTTTCACACAATGCTTCTTTCTAGCTTGTAGGGGAAGATATTCCCTTTATCACCATGGGCCTCAAACCGTCCGAAACGTCCACTTCCATATACTACAAAAAGAGCGTTTCAAACCTGCTCTATGAAAGGCAATGTTCAACTCTGTGACTTGAATGCAGACATCACACAGCAGTTTCTGAGAATGCTTCTGTCTAGATTTTATAGGAAGATATTCCCGTTTCCAACGAAATCTTCACAGCTATCCAAATATCCACTTGCAGATTCTACAAAAAGAGTGTATCAAAACTGCTCTGTCAAAAGGAAGGTTCTTCTCTGTTAGGTGAGTGCATACGTTTAAAGGTGTTTCTGAGAATGTTTCTGTCTAGTGGTTATGGGAAGATATTTGCTTTTTCACCGTAGGCCTCAGAGCGCTCCAAATATCCACTTGCACATACTACAAAAAGAGTGCTTCAAAGCTGGTCTCTGAAACGGAATGTTCAACTCTATGAGTTGAATGCAAACATCACAAAGACGTTTTCTGAGAATGCTTCTGTCTAGATTTGATATGAAGATATTCCCGTTTCCAAGGGAAATCTTCAAATCTATCCAAATGTCCACTTGCAGATTCAACAAAAAGTGTTTTTCAGAACTGCTCTATCAAAAGAAAGATCCACTTCTGTTAGCTGAGTTCACACATCACAAACAAGTTTATGAGAATGCTTCTGTCTAGTTTTTATTTGAAGATATTTCCTTTCTCACCATAGACCTGAAAGCTGTCCTAGTGTTCACTTCCAGATACTACAGAAAGAGTGTTTCAAAACTGATGTACGAAAGGGAATGTTCAACTCTGTGACTTGAATGCACACATCACAAAGTAGTTTCTGAGGATGCTGCTGTCTACTTATTATACGTAATCCCGTTTCCAACGAAATCCTCCAAGCTATCCAAATATCCACTTGCAGATTCCACAGAAAGACTCTTTCAAAACTGTTCTGTCAATAGAAAGGTTCAACTCTGTTAGCTGCGTGCATATATCCCAAAGAAGATTCTGAGATTGCTTCTGTCTAGTTTTTATGGGAAGATATTTCCCTTTTCACCGTAGGCGTCAAGGCGCTCCAAATGTCCACTTCCAGATACTACAAAAAGAGTGTTTCAAACCTACTCTGTGAAAGGGAATATTCAACTCTGTGACTAGAATGCACATATCACAAAGAAGTTTCTGAGAATGCATCTGTCGAGATTTTATATGAAGATATTCCCGTTTCCAACGAAATGCTGAAATCTATCCAAATATCCGCTCGCAGATTCTACAAAAAGAGTGTTTCAAAACTGCTCTGTAAAAAGAAAGGTTCAACTCTGTTAGTTGAGTACACACATCACAAACAAGTTTCACAGAATGCTCTTTCTAGCTTGTAGGGGAAGATATTCCCTTTATCACCATGGGCCTCCAACCGTCCGAAACATCCACTTACATATACTACAAAAAGAGCGTTTCAAACCTGCTCTATGAAAGGCAATGTTCAACTCTGTGACTTGAATGCAGACATCACAGAGCAGTTTCTGAGAATGCTTTCTGTCTAGATTTTATAGGAAGATATTCCCGTTTCCAACGAAATCTTCACAGCTATCCAAATATCCACTTGCAGATTCTACAAAAAGAGTGTATCAAAAGTGCTCTGTCAAAAGGAAGGTTCTTCTCTGTTAGGTGAGTGCATACGTCATAAAGGAGTTTCTGAGAATGTTTCTGTCTAGTGGTTATGGGAAGATACTTGCTTTTTCACCGTAGGCCTCAGAGCGCTCCAAATATCCCCTTGCACATACTACAAAAAGAGTGCTTCAAAGCTGCTCTCTGAAACGGAATGTTCAACTCTATGAGTTGAATGCAAACATCACAAAGACGTTTCTGGGAATGCTTCTGTCTAGATTTGATATGAAGATATTCCCGTTTCCAACGAAATCTTCAAATCTATCCAAATGTCCACTTGCAGATTCAACAAAAGTGTTTTTCAGAACTGCTCTATCAAAAGAAAGATCCACCTCTGTTAGCTGAGTTCACACATCACAAACAAGTTTATGAGAATGCTTCTGTCTAGTTTTTATTTGAAGATATTTCCTTTCTCACCATAGACCTGAAAGCTGTCCTAATGTTCACTTCCAGTTACTACAGAAAGAGTGTTTCAAAACTGCTGTACGAAAGGGAATGTTCAACTCTGTGACTTGAATGCACACATCACAAAGAAGCTTCTGAGGATGCTGCTGTCTACTTTTTATACGTAATCCCGTTTCCAACGAAATCCTCCAAGCTATCCAAATATCCACTTGCAGATTCCACAGAAAGACTGTTTCAAAACTGCTCTGTCAATAGAAAGGTTCAACTCTGTTAGCTGGGTGCATATATCCCAAAGAAGATTCTGAGATTACTTCTGTCTACGTTTTTATGAGAAGATATTTCCCTTTTCACCGTAGGCGTCAAGGCGCTCCAAATGTCCACTTCCAGATACTACAAAAAGAGTGTTTCAAACCTACTCTGTGAAAGGGAATATTGAACTCTGTGACTTGAATGCACATATCAAAAAGAAGCTTCTGAGAATGCTTCTGTCGAGATTTTATATGAAGATATTCCCGTTTCCAATGAAATCCTGAAATCTATCCAAATATCCCCTCGCAGATTCTACAAAAAGAGTGTTTCAAAACTGCTCTGTAAAAAGAAAGGTTCAACTCTGTTAGTTGAGTACACACATCACAAACAAGTTTCACAGAATGCTATCTTTCTAGCTTGTAGGGGAAGATATTCCCTTTATCACCATGGGCCTCAAACAGTCTGAAACGTCCACTTCCATATACTACAAAAAGAGCATTTCAAACCTGCTCTATGAAAGGCAATGTTCAACTCTGTGACTTGAATGCAGACATCACAGAGCAGTTTCTGAGAATGCTTCTGTCTAGGTATTATAGGAGGATATTCCCGTTTCCAACGAAATCTTCACAGCTATCCAAATATCCACTTGCAGATTCTACAAAAAGAGTGTATCAAAACTGCTCTGTCAAAAGGAAGGTTCTTCTCTGTTAGGTGAGTGCATACGTCATAAAGGAGTTTCTGAGAATGTTTCTGTCTAGTGGTTATGGGAAGATATTTGCTTTTTCACCGTAGGCCTCAGAGCGCTCCAAATATCCACTTGCACATACTACAAAAAGAGTGCTTCAAACCTGCTCTCTGAAAGGGAATGTTCAACTCTATGAGTTGAATGCAAACATGACAAAGACGTTTCTGAGAATGCTTCTGTCTAGATTTGATATGAAGATATTCCCGTTTCCAACGAAATCTTCAAATCTATCCAAATGTCCACTTGCAGATTCAACAAAAAATGTTTTTCAGAACTGCTCTATCAAAAGAAAGATCCACCTCTGTTAGCTGAGTTCACACATCACAAACAAGTTAATGAGAATGCTTTCTGTCTAGTTTTTATTTGAAGATATTTCCTTTCTCACCATAGACCTGAAGCTGTCCTAATGTTCACTTCCAGATACTACAGAAAGAGTGTTTCAAAACTGCTGTACGAAAGGGAATGTTCAACTCTGTGACTTGAATGCACACATCACAAAGAAGTTTCTGAGGATGCTGCTGTCTACTTTTGATACGTAATCCCGTTTCCAACGAAATCCTCCAAGCTACCAAATATCCACTTGCAGATTCCACAGAAAGACTGTTTCAAAACTGCTCTGTCAATAGAAAGGTTCAACTCTGTTAGCTGCGTGCATATATCCCAAAGAAGATTCTGAGATTGCTTCTGTCTAGTTTTTATGGGAAGATATTTCCCTTTTCACCGTAGGCGTCAAGGCGCTCCAAATGTCCACTTCCAGATACTACAAAAAGAGTGTTTCAAACCTACTCTGTGAAAGGGAATATTCAACCCTGTGACTTGAAGGCAGATATCACAAAGAAGTTTCTGAGAATGCTTCTGTCGAGATTTTATATGAAGATATTCCCGTTTCCAACGAAATCCTGTAATCTATCCAAATATCCCCTCGCAGATTCTACAAAAAGAGTGTTTCAAAACTGCTCTGTAAAAAGAAAGGTTCAACTCTGTTAGTTGAGTACACACCTCACAAACAAGTTTCACAGAATGCTTCTTTCTAGCTTGTAGGGGAAGATATTCCCTTTATCACCATGGGCCTCAAACCGTCCGAAACGTCCACTTCCATATACTACAAAAAGAGCATTTCAAACCTGCTCTAGGAAAGGCAATGTTCAACTCTGTGACTTGAATGCAGACATCGCAGAGCAGTTTCTGAGAATGCTTCTGTCTAGATTTTATAGGAAGATATTCCCGTTTCCAACGAAATCTTCACAGGTATCAAAATATCCACTTGCAGATTCTACAAAAAGAGTGTATCAAAACTGCTCTGTCAAAAGGAAGGTTCTTCTCTGTTAGGTGAGTGCATACGTCATAAAGGAGTTTCTGAGAATGTTTCTGTCTAGTGGTTATGGGAAGATATTTGCTTTTTCACCGTAGGCCTCAGAGCGCTCCAAATATCCGCTTGCACATACTACAAAAAGAGTGCTTCAAAGCTGCTCTCTGAAACGGAATGTTCAACTCTATGAGTTGAATGCAAACATGACAAAGACGTTTCTGAGAATGCTTCTGTCTAGATTTGATATGAAGATATTCCCGTTTCCAAGGAAATCTTCAAATCTATCCAAATGTCCACTTGCAGATTCTACAAAAATTGTTTTTCAGAACTGCTCTATCAAAAGAAAAATCCACGTGTGTTAGCTGAGTTCACACATCACAAACAAGTTTATGAGAATGCTTCTGTCTAGTTTTTATTTGAAGATATTTCCTTTCTCACCATAGACCTGAAAGCTGTCCTAATGTTCACTTCCAGTTACTACAGAAAGAGTATTTCAAAACTGCTGTACGAAAGGGAATGTTCAACTCTGTGACTTGAATGCACACATCACAAAGAAGTTTGCTGAGGATGCTGCTGTCTACTTTTTATACGTAATCCCGTTTCCAAAGAAATCCTCCAAGCTATCCAAATATCCACTTGCAGATTCCACAGAAAGACTGTTTCAAAACGGGTCTGTCAATAGAAAGGTTCAACTCTGTTAGCTGCGTACATATATCCCAAAGAAGATTCTGAGATTGCTTCTGTCTACTTTTTATGAGAAGATATTTCCCTGTTCACCGTAGGCGTCAAGGCGCTCCAAATGTTCACTTCCAGATACTACAAAAAGAGTGTTTCAAACCTACTCTGTAAAAGGGAATATTCAACTCTGTGACTTGAATGCACATATCACAAAGAAGTTTCTGAGAATGCTTCTGTCGAGATTTTATATGAAGATATTCCCGTTTCCAACGAAATCCTGAAATCTATCCAAATATCCCCTCGCAGATTGTACAAAAAGAGTGTTTCAAAACTGCTCTGTAAAAAGAAAGGTTCAACTCTGTTAGTTGAGTACACACATCACAAACAAGTTTCACAGAATGCTTCTTTCTAGCTTGTAGGGGAAGATATTCCCTTTATCACCAAGGGCCTCAAACCGTCCGAAACGTCCACTTCCATATACTACAAAAACAGCATTTCAAACCTGCTCTAGGAAAGGCAATGTTCAACTCTGTGACTTGAATGCAGACATCACAGAGCAGTTTCTGAGAATGCTTCTGTCTAGATTTTATAGGAAGATATTCCTCGTTTCCAACGAAATCTTCACAGCTATCCAAATATCCACTTGCAGATTCTACAAAAAGAGTGTATCAAAACTGCTCTGTGAAAAGGAAGGTTCTTCTCTGTTAGGTGAGTGCATACGTCATAAAGGAGTTTCTGAGAATGTTTCTGTCTAGTGGTTATGGGAAGATATTTGCTTTTTCACCTTAGGCCTCAGAGAGCTCCAAATATCCACTTGCACATACTACAAAAAGAGTGCTTCAAAGCTGCTCTCTGAAAGGGAATGTTCAACTCTGTGAGTTGAATGCAAACATCACAAAGACGTTTCTGACAATGCTTTCTGTCTAGATTTGATATGAAGATATTCCCGTTTCCAACGAAATCTTCAAATCTATCCAAATGTCCATTTGCAGATTCAACAAAAAGAGTTTTTCAAAACTGTTATATCAAAAGAAAGATCCACATCTGTTAGCTGAGTTCACACATCACAAACAAGTTTAAGAGAATGCTTCTGTCTAGTTTTTATTTGAAGATATTTCCTTTCTCACCATAGACCTGAAAGCTGTCCTAATGTTCACTTCCAGATACTACAGAAAGAGTGTTTCAAAACTGCTGTATGAAAGGGAATGTTCAACTCTGTGACTTGAATGCAGACATCACAGAGCAGTTTCTGAGAATGCTGCTGTCTACTTTTTATACGTAATCCCGTTTCCAACGAAATCCTCCAAGCTATCCAAATATCCACTTGCAGATTCCACAGAAAGACTGTTTCAAAACTGCTCTGTCAATAGAAAGGTTCAACTCTGTTAGCTGCGTACATATATCCCAAAGAAGATTCTGAGATTGCTTCTGTCTACTTTTTATGAGAAGATATTTCCCTTTTCACCGTAGGCGTCAAGGCGCTCTAAATGTCCACTTCCAGATACTAGAAAAAGAGTGTTTCAAACCTACTCTGTGAAAGGGAATATTCAACTCTGTGACTTGAATGCACATATCACAAAGAAGCTTCTGAGAATGCTTCTGTCGAGATTTTATATGAAGATATTCCGGTTTCCAACAAAATCCTGAAATCTATCCAAATATCCCCTCGCAGATTCTACAAAAAGAGTGTTTCAAAACTGCTCTGTAAAAAGAAAGGTTCAACTCTGTTAGTTGAGTACACACATCACAAACAAGTTTCACAGAATGCTTCTTTCTAGCTTGTAGGGGAAGATATTCCCTTTATCACCATGGGCCTCCAACCGTCCGAAACATCCACTTCCATATACTACAAAAAAGCGTTTCAAACCTGCTCTATGAAAGGCAATGTTCAACTCTGTGACTTGAATGCAGACATCACAGAGCAGTTTCTGAGAATGCTTCTGTCTAGATTTTATAGGAAGATATTCCCGATTCCAACGAAATCTTCACAGCTATCCAAATATCCACTTGCAGATTCTACAAAAAGAGTGTATCAAAACTGCTCTGTCAAAAGGAAGGTTCTTCTCTGTTAGTTGAGTACAAACGTCATAAAGGAGTTTCTGAGAATGTTTCTGTCTAGTGGTTATGGGAAGATATTTGCTTTTTCCCCGTAGGCCTCAGGGCGCTCCAAATGTCCACTTGCACATGCTACAAAAAGAGTGCTTCAAAGCTGCCTCTCTGAAAGGGAATGTTCAACTCTATGAGTTGAATGCAAACATCACAAAGACGTTTCTGAGAATGCTTCTGTCTAGATTTGATATGAAGATATTCCCGTTTCCAACGAAATCTTCAAATCTATCCAAATGTCCACTTGCAGATTCAACAAAAAGTGTTTTTCAGAACTGCTCTATCAAAAGAAAGATCCACCTCTGTTAGCTGAGTTCACACAACACAAACAAGTTTATGAGAATGCTTCTGTCTAGTTTTTATTTGAAGATATTTCCTTTCTCACCATAGACCTGAAAGCTGTCCTAATGTTCACTTCCAGATACTACAGAAAGAGTGTTTCAAAACTGCTGTACGAAAGGGAATGTTCAACTCTTTGACTTGAATGCACACATCACAAAGAAGTTTCTGAGGATGCTGCTGTCTACTTTTTATACGTAATCCCGTTTCCAACGAAATCCTCCAAGCTATCCAAATATCCACTTGCAGATTCCACAGAAAGACTGTTTCAAATCTGCTCTGTCAATAGAAAGGTTCAACTCTGTTAGCTGCGTGCATATATCCCAAAGATGATTCTGAGATTTCTTCTGTCTAGTTTTGATGGGAAGATATTTCCCTTTTCACCGTAGGCGTCAAGGCGCTCCAAATGTCCACTTCCAGATACTACAAAAAGAGTGTTTCAAACCTACTCTGTGAAAGGGAATATTCAACTCTGTGACTTGAATGCACATATCACAAGGAAGTTTCTGAGAATGCTTCTGTCGCGATTTTATATGAAGATATTCCCCTTTCCAACGAAATCCTGAAATCTATCCAAATATCCCCTCGCAGATTCTACAAAAAGAGTGTTTCAAAACTGCTCTGTAAAAAGAAAGGTTCAACTCTGTTAGTTGAGTACACACATCACAAACAAGTTTCACAGAATGCTTCTTTCTAGCTTGTAGGGGAAGATATTCCCTTTATCACCATGGGCCTCAAACCGTCCGAAAAGTCCACTTCCATATACTACAAAAAGAGCATTTCAAACCTGCTCTATGAAAGGCAATGTTCAACTCTGTGACTTGAATGCAGACATCACAGAGCAGTTTCTGAGAATGCTTCTGTCCAGACTTTATAGGAAGATATTCCCGTTTCCAACGAAATCTTCACAGCTATCCAAATATCCACTTGCAGATAGTACAAAAAGAGTGTATCAAAAATGCTCTATCAAAAGGAAAGTTCTTCTCTGCTAGTTGAGTACATACGTCATAAAGAAGTTTCTGAGAATGTTTCTGTCTAGTGGTTATGGGAAGATATTTGCTTTTTCACCGTAGGCCTCAGAGCGCTCCAAATATCCCCTTGCACATACTACAAAAAGAGTGCTTCAAAGCTGCTCTCTGAAAGGGAATGTTCAACTCTAAGAGTTGAATGCAAACATCACAAAGACGTTTCTGAGAATGCTTCTGTCTAGATTTGATATGAAGATATTCCCGTTTCCAAAGAAATCTTCAAATCTATCCAAATGTCCACTTGCAGATTCAACAAAAAGTGTTTTTCAGAACTGCTCTATCAAAAGAAAGATCCACGTGTGTTAGCTGAGTTCACACATCACAAACAAGTTTATGAGAATGCTTCTGTCTAGATTTGATATGAAGATATTCCCGTTTCCAACGAAATCTTCAAATCTATCCAAATGTCCACTTGCAGATTCAACAAAAAGTGTTTTTCAGAACTGCTCTATCAAAAGAAAGATCCACGTGTGTTAGTTGAGTTCACACATCACAAACAAGTTTATGAGAATGCTTGCTGTCTACTTTTATACCTAATCCCGTTTCCAACGAAATCCTCCAAGCTATCCAAATATCCACTTGCAGATTCCACAGAAAGACTGTTTCAAAACTGCTCTGTCAATAGAAAGGTTCAACTCTGTTAGCTGCGTGCATATATCCCAAAGAAGATTCTGAGATTGCTTCTGTCTAGTTTTTATGGGAAGATATTTCCCTTTTCACCGTAGGTGTCAAGGCGCTCCAAATGTCCACTTCCAGATACTACAAAAAGAGTGTTTCAAACCTACTCTGTGAAAGGGAACATTCAACTCTGTGACTTGAATGCACATATCACAAAGAAGTTTCTGAGAATGCTTCTGTCGAGATTTTATATGAAGATATTCCCCTTTCCAACGAAATCCTGAAATCTATCCAAATATCCCCTCGCAGATTCTACAAAAAGCGTGTTTCAAAACTGCTCTGTAAAAAGAAAGGTTCAACTCTGTTAGTTGAGTACACACATCACAAACAAGTTTCACAGAATGCTTCTTTCTAGCTTGTAGGGGAAGATATACCCTTTATCACCATGGGCCTCAAACCGTCCGAAAAGTCCACTTCCATATACTACAAAAAGAGCGTTTCAAACCTGCTCTATGAAAGGCAATGTTCAACTCTGTGACTTGAATGCAGACATCACAGAGCAGTTTCTGAGAATGCTTCTGTCTAGATTTTATAGGAAGATATTCCCGTTTCCAACGAAATCTTCACAGCTATCCAAATATCCACTTGCAGATTCTACAAAAAGAGTGTATCAAAACTGCTCTGTCAAAAGGAAGGTTCCTTTCTGTTAGGTGAGTGCATACGTCATAAAGGAGTTTCTGAGAATGTTTCTGTCTAGTGGTTATGGGAAGATATTTGCTTTTTCACCGTAGGCCTCAGAGCGCTCCAAATATCCACTTGCACATACTACAAAAAGAGTGCCTCAAAGCTGCTCTCTGAAACGGAATGTTCAACTCTATGAGTTGAATGCAAACATCACAAAGACGTTTCTGAGAATGCCTCTGTCTAGATTTGATATGAAGATATTCCCGTTTCCAACGAAATCTTCAAATCTATCCAAATGTCCACTTGCAGATTCAACAAAAAGAGTTTTTCAGAACTGCTCTATCAAAAGAAAGATCCACCTCTGTTAGCTGAGTTCACACATCACAAACAAGTTTATGAGAATGCTTCTGTCTAGTTTTTATTTGAAGATATTTCTTTTCTCACCATAGACCTGAAAGCTGTCGTAATGTTTACTTCCAGATACTACAGAAAGAGTGTTTCAAAACTAATGTACGAAACGGAATGTTCAACTCTGTGACTTGAATGCACACATCACAAAGAAGTTTCTGAGGATGCTGCTGTCTACTTTTTATACGTAATCCCGTTTCCAACGAAATCCTCCAAGCTATCCAAATATCCACTTGCAGATTCCACAGAAAGACTGTTTCAAAACTGCTCTGTCAATAGAAAGGTTCAACTCTGTTAGCTGCGTGCATATATCCCAAGAAGATTCTGAGATGGCTTCTGTCTAGTTTTTATGGGAAGATATTTCCTTTTTCACCGTAGGCGTCAAGGCGCTCCAAATGTCCACTTCCAGATACTACAAAAAGAGTGTTTCAAACCTACTCTGTGAAAGGGAATATTCAACTCTGTGACTTGAATGCACATATCACAAGGAAGTTTCTGAGAATGCTTCTGTCGAGAATTTATATGAAGATATTCCCGTTTCCAACGAAATCCTGAAATCTCTCCAAATATCCCCTCGCAGATTCTACAAAAAGAGTGTTTCAAAACTGCTCTGTAAAAAGAAAGGTTCAACTCTGTTAGTTGAGTACACACATCACAAACAAGTTTCACAGAATGCTTCTTTCTAGCTTGTAGGGGAAGATATTCCCTTTATCACAATGGGCCTCAAACCGTCCGATAAGTCCACTTCCATATACTACAAAAAGAGCGTTTCAAACCTGCTCTATGAAAGGCAATGTTCAACTCTGTGACTTGAATGCAGACATCACAGAGCAGTTTCTGAGAATGCTTCTGTCTAGATTTTATAGGAAGATATTCCCGTTTCCAACGAAATCTTCACAGCTATCCAAATATCCACTTGCAGATTCTACAAAAAGAGTGTATCAAAACTGCTCTGTCAAAAGGAAGGTTCTTCTCTGTTAGGTGAGTACATACCGTCATAAAGGAGTTTCTGAGAATGTTTCCATCTAGTGGTTATGGGAAGATATTTGCTTTTTCACCGAAGGCCTCAGAGCGCTCCAAATATCCACTTGCACATACTACAAAAAGAGTGCCTCAAAGCTGCTCTCTGAAACGGAATGTTCAACTCTATGAGTTGAATGCAAACATCGCAAAGACGTTTCTGAGAATGCTTCTGTCTAGATTTGATATGAAGATATTCCCGTTTCCAACGAAATCTTCAAATCTATCCAAATGTCCACTTGCAGATTCAACAAAAAGTGTTTTTCAGAACTGCTCTATCAAAAGAAAGATCCACCTCTGTTAGCTGAGTTCAGACATCGCAAACATGTTTATGAGAATGCTTCTGTCTAGTTTTTATTTGAAGATATTTCCTTTCTCACCATAGACCTGAAAGCTGTCCTAATGTTCACTTCCAGATACTACAGAAAGAGTGTTTAAAAACTGCTGTACGAAAGGGAATGTTCAACTCTGTGACTTGAATGCACACATCACAAAGAAGTTTCTGAGGATGCTGCTGTCTACTTTTTATACGTAATCCCGTTTCCAACGAAATCCTCCAAGCTATCCAAATATCCACTTCCAGATTCCACAGAAAGACTGTTTCAAAACTGCTCTGTCAATAGAAAGGTTCAACTCTGTTAGCTGCGTGCATATATCCCAAAGAAGATTCTGAGATTGCTTCTGTCTAGTTTTTATGGGAAGATATTTCCCTTTTCACCGTAGGCGTCAAGGCGCTCCAAATGTCCACTTCCAGATACTACAAAACGAGTGTTTCAAACCTACTCTGTGAAAGGGAATATTCAACTCTGTGACTTGAATGCACATATCAGAAGGAAGTTTCTGAGAATGCTTCCGTCGAGATTTTATATGAAGATATTCCCGTTTCCAACGAAATCCTGAAATCTATCCAAATATCCGCTCGCAGATTCTACAAAAAGAGTGTTTCAAAACTGCTCTGTGAAAAGAAAGGTTCAACTCTGTTAGTTGAGTACACACATCACAAACAAGTTTCACAGAATGCTTCTTTCTAGCTTGTAGGGGAAGATATTCCCTTTATCACCATGGGCCTCAAACCGTCCGATAAGTCCACTTCCATATACTACAAAAAGAGCGTTTCAAACCTGCTCTATGAAAGGCAATGTTCAACTCCGTGACTTGAATGCAGACATCACAGAGCAGTTTCTGAGAATGCTTCTGTCTAGATTTTATAGGAAGATATTCCCGTTTCCAACGAAATCTTCACAGCTATCCAAATATCCACTTGCAGATTCTACAAAAAGAGTGTATCAAAAATGCTCTGTCAAAAGGAAGGTTCTTCTCTGTTAGTTGAGTACATACGTCATAAAGGAGTTTCTGAGAATGTTTCTGTCTAGTGGTTATGGGAAGATATTTGCTTTTTCACCGTAGGCCTCAGAGCGCTCCAAATATCCACTTGCACATACTACAAAAAGAGTGCCTCAAAGCTGCTCTCTGAAACGGAATGTGCAACTCTATGAGTTGAATGCAAACATCGCAAAGACGTTTCTGAGAATGCTTCTGTCTAGATTTGATATGAAGATATTCCCGTTTCCAACGAAACCTTCAAATCTATCCAACTGTCCTCTTGCAGATTCAACAAAAAGTGTTTTTCAGAACTGCTCTATCAAAAGAAAGATCCACGTGTGTTAGCTGAGTTCACACATCACGAACAAGTTTATGAGAATGCTTCTGTCTAGTTTTTATTTGAAGATATTTCCTTTCTCACCATAGACCTGAAAGCTGTCCTAATGTTCACTTCCAGATACTACAGAAAGAGTGTTTCAAAACTGCTGTATGAAAGGGAATGTTCAACTCTGTGACTTGAATGCACACATCACAAATAAGTTTCTGAGGATGCTGCTGTCTACTTTTTATACATAATCCCGTTTCCAACGAAATCCTCCAATCTATCCAAATATCCACTTGCAGATTCCACAGAAAGACTGTTTCAAAACTGCTCTGTCAATAGAAAGGTTCAACTCTGTTAGCTGCGTGCATATATCCCAAAGAAGATTCTGAGATTGCTTCTGTCTAGTTTTTATGGGAAGATATTTCCCTTTTCACCGTAGGCGTCAAGGCGCTCCAAATGTCCACTTCCAGATACTACAAAAAGAGTGTTTCAAACCTACTCTGTGAAAGGGAATATTCAACTCTGTGACTTGAATGGAGATATCACAAAGAAGTTTCTGAGAATGCTTCTGTCGAGATTTTATATGAAGATAATCCCCTTTCCAACGAAATTCTGAAATCTATCCAAATATGCCCTCGCAGATTCTACAAAAAGAGTGTTTCAAAACTGCTCTGTAAAAAGAAAGGTTCAACTCTGTTAGTTGAGTACACACATCACAAACAAGTTTCACAGAATGCTTCTTTCTAGCTTGTAGGGGAAGATATTCCCTTTATCACCATGGGCCTCAAACCGTCCGAAACGTCCACTTCCATATACTACAAAAAGAGTGTTTCAAACCTGCTCTATGAACGGCAATGTTCAACTCTGTGACTTGAATGCAGACATCACAGAGCAGTTTCTGAGAATGCTTCTGTCCAGAGTTTATAGGAAGATATTCCCGTTTCCAACGAAATCTTCACAGCTATTCAAATATCCACTTGCAGATACTAAAAAAGTGTATCAAAAATGCTCTGTCAAAAGGAAAGCTCTTCTCTGCTAGTTGAGTACATTCGTCATAAAGAAATTTCTGAGAATGTTTCTGTCTAGTGGTTATGGGAAGATATTTGCTTTTTCCCCGTAGGCCTCAGGGCGCTCCAAATGTCCACTTGCACATGCTACAAAAAGAGTGCTTCAAAGCTGCTCTCTGAAAGGGAATGTTCAACCCTATGAGTTGAATGCAAACATCACAAAGACGTTTCTGAGAATGCTTCTGTCTAGATTTGATATGAAGATATTCCCGTTTCCAACGAAATCTTCAAATCTATCCAAATGTCCACTTGCAGATTCAACAAAGTGTTTTTCAAAACTGCTGTATCAAAAGAAACATCCACCTCTGTTAGCTGAGTTCACACTTCACAAACAAGTTTATCAGAATGCTTCTGTCTAGTTTTTATTTGAAGATATTTCCTTTCTCACCATAGACCTGAAAGCTGTCCTAATGTTCAATTCCAGATACTACAGAAAGAGTGTTTCAAAACTGCTGTACGAAAGGGAATGTTCAACTCTGTGACTTGAATGCACACATCACAAAGAAGTTTCTGAGGATGCTGCTGTCTACTTTTTATACGTAATCCCGTTTCCAACGAAATCCTCCAAGCTATCCAAATATCCACTTGCAGATTCCACAGAAAGACTGTTTCAAACCTGCTCTGTCAATAGAAAGGTTCAACTCTGTTAGCTGCGTGCATATATCCCAAAGAAGATTCTGAGATTGCTTTCTGTCTAGTTTTTATGGGAAGATATTTCCCTTTTCACCGTAGGTGTCAAGGCGCTCCAAATATCCACTTCCAGATACTACAAAAAGAGTGTTTCAAACCTACTCTGTGAAAGGGAATATTCAACTCTGTGACTTGAATGCACATATCACAAAGAAGTTTCTGAGAATGCTTCTGTCGAGATTTTATATGAAGATATTCCCGTTTCCAACGAAATTCTGAAATGTATCCAAATATCCCCTCGCAGATTCTACAAAAAGAGTGTTTCAAAACTGCTCTGTAAAAAGAAAGGTTCAGCTCTGTTAATTGAGTACACACATCACAAACAAGTTTCACACAATGCTTCTTTCTAGCTTGTAGGGGAAGATATTCCGTTTATCACCATGGGCCTCAAACCGTCCGAAACGTCTACTTCCATATACTACAAAAAGAGCGTTTCAAACCTGCTCTATGAAAAGCAATGTTCAACTCTGTGACTTGAATGCAGACATCACAGAGCAGTTTGCTGAGAATGCTTCTGTATAGATTTTATAGGAAGATATTCCCGTTTCCAACGAAATCTTCACAGCTATCCAAATATCCACTTGCAGATTCTACAAAAAGAGTGTATTCAAACTGCTCTGTCAAAAGGAAGGTTCTTCTCTGTTAGTTGAGTACATACGTCATAAAGGAGTTTCTGAGAATGTTTCTGTCTAGTGGTTATGGGAAGATATTTGCTTTTTCACCTTAGGCCTCAGAGCACTCCAAATATCCCCTTGCAGATACTATAAAAAGAGTGCTTCAAAGCTGCTCTCTGAAACGGAATGTTCAACTCTATGAGTTGAATGCAAACATGACAAAGACGTTTCCGAGAATGCTTCTGTCTAGATTTGATATGACGATATTCCAGTTTCCAACGAAATCTTCAAATCTATCCAAATGTCCACTTGCAGATTCAACAAAAAGTGTTTTTCAGAACTGCTCTATCAAAAGAAAGATCCACCTGTGTTAGCTGAGTTCACACATCACAAACAAGTTTATGAGAATGTTTCTGTCTGGTTTTTATTTGAAGATATTTCTTTTCTCACCATAGACCTGAAAGCTGTCCTAATGTTCACTTCCAGATACTACAGAAAGAGTGTTTCAAAACTGCTGTACGAAAGGGAATGTTCAACTCTGTGACTTGAATGCACACATCACAAAGAAGTTTCTGAGGATGCTGCTGTTCTACTTTTTATACGTAATCCCGTTTCCAACGAAATCCTCCAAGCTATCCAATATCCACTTGCAGATTCCACAGAAAGACTGTTTCAAAACTGCTCTGTCAATAGAAAGGTTCAACTCTGTTAGCTGCGTGCATATATCCCAAAGAAGATTCTGAGATTGCTTCTGTCTAGTTTTTATGGGAAGATATTTCCCTTTTCACCGTAGGCGTCAAAGCGCTCCAAATGTCCACTTCCAGATACTACAAAAAGAGTGTTTCAAACCTACTCTGTGAAAGGGAATATTCAACTCTGTGATTTGAATGCAGATATCACAAAGAAGTTTCTGAGAATGCTTCTATCGAGATTTTCTATGAAGATATTCCCGTTTCCAACGAAATCCTGAAATCTATCCAAATATCCCCTCGCAGATTCTACAAAAAGAGTGTTTCAAAACTGCTCTGTAAAAAGAAAGGTTCAACTCTATTAGTTGAGTACACACATCACAAACAAGTTTCACAGAATGCTTCTTTCTAGCTTGTAGGGGAGATATTCCCTTTAACACCATGGGCCTCAAACCGTCCGAAACGTCCACTTCCATATACTACAAAAAGAGCGTTTCAAACCTGCTCTATGAAAGGCAATGTTCAACTCTGTGACTTGAATGCAGACATCACAGAGCAGTTTCTGAGAATGCTTCTGTCTAGATTTTATAGGAAGATATTCCCGTTTGCAACGAAATCTTCACAGCTATCCAAATATCCACTTGCAGATTCTACAAAAAGAGTGTATCAAAACTGCTCTGTCAAAAGGAAGGTTCTTCTCTGTTAGGTGAGTGCATACGTCATAAAGGAGTTTCTGAGAATGTTTCTGTCTAGTGGTTATGGGAAGATATTTGCTTTTTCACCGTAGGCCTCAGAGCGCTCCAAATATCCACTTGCACATACTACAAAAAGAGTGTTTCAAAGCTGCTCTCTGAAACGGAATGTTCAACTCTATGAGTTGAATGCAAACATGACAAAGACGTTTCTGAGAATGCTTCTGTCTAGATTTGTTATGAAGATATACCCGTTTCCAACGAAATCTTCAAATCTATCCAAATGTCCACTTGCAGATTCAACAAAGTGTTTTTCAAAACTGCTGTATCAAAAGAAAGATCCACTTGTGTTATCTGAGTTCACACTTCACAAACAAGTTTATCAGAATTCTTCTGTCTAGTTTTTATTTGAAGATATTTCCTTTCTCACCATAGACCTGAAAGCTGTCCTAATGTTCACTTCCAGATACTACAGAAAGAGTGTTTCGAAACTGCTGTACGAAAGGGAATGTTCAACTCTGTGACTTGAATGCACACATCACAAAGAAGTTTCTGAGGATGCTGCTGTCTACTTTTTATACGTAATCCCGTTTCCAACGTAATCCTCCAGGCTATCCAAATATCCACTTGCAGATTCCACAGAAAGACTGTTTCAAATCTGCTCTGTCAATAGAAAAGTTCAACTCTATTAGCTGCGTGCATATATCCCAAAGAAGATTCTGAGATTGCTTCTGTCTAGTTTTTATGGGAAGATATTTCCCTTTTCACCGTAGGTGTCAAGGCGCTCCAAATGTCAACTTCCAGATACTACAAAAAGAGTGTTTCAAACCTACTCTGTGAAAGGGAATATTCAACTCTGTGACTTGAATGCACATATCACAAAGAAGTTTCTGAGAATGCTTCTGTCGAGATTTTATATGAAGATATTCCCGTTTCCAACGAAATCCTGAAATCTATCCAATTATCCCCTCGCAGATTCTACAAAAAGAGTGTTTCAAAACTGCTCTGTAAAAAGAAAGGTTCAACTCTGTTAGTTGAGTACACACATCACAAACAAGTTTCACAGAATGCTTCTTTTTAGCTTGTAGGGGAAGATATTCCCTTTATCACCATGGGCCTCCAACCTTCCGAAACATCCAGTTCCATATACTACAAAAAGAGCATTTCAAACCTGCTCTATGAAAGGCAATGTTCAACTCTGTGACTTGAATGCAGACATCACAGAGCAGTTTCTGAGAATGCTTCTGTCTAGAATTTATAAGAAGATATTCCCGTTTCCAACGAAATCTTCACAGCTATCCAAATATCCACTTGCAGATTCTACAAAAAGAGTGTATCAAAAGTGCTCTGTCAAAAGGAAGGTTCTTCTCCGTTAGGTGAGTGCATACGTCATAAAGGAGTTTCTGAGAATGTTTCTGTCTAGTGGTTATGGGAAGATATTTGCTTTTTCACCGTAGGCCTCAGAGCGCTCCAAATATCCACTTGCACATACTACAAAAAGAGTGCTTCAAAGCTGCTCTCTGAAACGTAATGTTCAACTCTATGAGTTGAATGCAAACATCACAAAGACGTTTCCGAGAATGCTTCTGTCTAGATTTGATATGAAGATATTCCCGTTTCCAACGAAATCTTCAAATCTATCCAAATGTCCACTTGCAGATTCAACAAAAAGTGTTTTTCAGAACTGCTCTATCAAAAGAAAGATCCACCTCTGTTAGATGAGTTCACACATCACAAACAAGTTTATGAGAATGCTTCTGTCTAGTTTTTATTTGAAGATATTTCCTTTCTCACCATAGACCTGAAAGCTGTCCTAATGTTCACTTCCAGATACTACAGAAAGAGTGTTTCAAAACTGCTGTACGGAAGGGAATGTTCAACTCTGTGACTTGAATGCACACATCACAAAGAAGTTCCTGAGGACGCTGCTGTCTACTTTTTATGCGTAATCCCGTTTCCAACGAAATCCTCCAAGCTATCCAAATATCCACTTGCAGATTCCACAGAAAGACTGTTTCAAAACTGCTCTGTCAATAGAAAGGTTCAACTCTGTTAGCTGCGTGCATATATCCCAAAGAAGATTCTGAGATTGCTTCTGTCTAGTTTTGATGGGAAGATATTTCCCTTTTCACCGTGGGCGTCAAGGCGCTCCAAATGTCCACTTCCAGATACTACAAAAAGAGTGTTTCAAACCTACTCTGTGAAAGGGAATATTCAACTCTGTGACTTGAATGCACATATCACAAGGAAGTTTCTGAGAATGCTTCTGTCGAGATTTTATATGAAGATATTCCCGTTTCCAACGAAATCCTGAAATCTATCCAAATATCCCCTCGCAGATTCTACAAAAAGAGTGTTTCAAAACTGCTCTCTAAAAAGGAAGGTTCAACTCTGTTAGTTGAGTACACACATCACAAACAAGTTTCACAGAATGCTTCTTTCTAGCTTGTAGGGGAAGATATTCCCTTTATCACCATGGGCCTCAAAGCGTCCGAAACGTCCACTTCCATATACTACAAAAAGAGCGTTTCAAACCTGCTCTAGGAAAGGCAATGTTCAACTCTGTGACTTGAATGCAGACATCACAGAGTAGTTTCTGAGAATGCTTCTGTCTAGATTTTATAGGAAGATATTCCCGTTTCCTACGAAATCTTCACAGCTATCCAAATATCCACTTGCAGATTCTACAAAAAGAGTGTATCAAAACTGCTCTGTCAAAAGGAAGGTTCTTCTCTGTTAGGTGAGTGCATACGTCATAAAGGAGTTTCTGAGAATGTTTCTGTCTAGTGGTTATGGGAAGATATTTGCTTTTTCACCGTAGGCCTCACAGCGCACCAAATATCCACTTGCACATACTACAAAAAGAGTGCCTCAAAGCTGCTCTCTGAAACGGAATGTTCAACTCTATGGGTTGAATGCAAACATCACAAAGACGTTTCTGAGAATGCTTCTGTCTAGATTTGATATGAAGATATTCCCGTTTCCAACGAAATCTTCAAATCTATCCAAATGTCCACTTGCAGATTCAACAAAAAGTGTTTTTCAAAACTGCTGTATCAAAAGAAAGATCCACCTCTGTTAGCTGAGTTCACACATCACAAACAAGTTTATGAGAAAGCTTCTGTCTAGTTTTTATTTGAAGATCTTTCCTTTCTCACCATAGACCTGAAAGCTGTCCTAATGTTCACTTCCAGATACTACAGAAAGAGTGTTTCAAAACTGCTGTACGAAAGGGAATGTTCAACTCTGTGACTTGAATGCACACATCACAAAGAAGTTTCTGAGGATGCTGCTGTCTACTTTTTATACGTAATCCCGTTTCCAAAGAAATCCTCCAAGCTATCCAAATATCCACTTGCAGATTCCACAGAAAGACTGTTTCAAAACGGGTCTGTCAATAGAAAGGTTCAACTACTGTTAGCTGCGTACATATATCCCAAAGAAGATTCTGAGATTGCTTCTGTCTAGTTTTTATGGGAAGATATTTCCCTTTTCACCGTAGGCGTCAAGGCGCTCCAAATGTCCAATTCCAGATACTATAAAAAGAGTGTTTCAAAACTACTCTGTGAAAGAGAATATTCAACTCTGTGACTGGAATGCAGATATCACAAAGAAGTTTCTGAGAATGCTTCTGTCGAGATTTTATATGAAGATATTCCCGTTTCCAACGAAATCCTGAAATCTATCCAAATATCCCCTCGCAGATTCTACAAAAAGAGTGTTTCAAAACTGCTCTGTAAAAAGAAAGGTTCAACTCTGTTAGTTGAGTACACACATCACAAACAAGTTTCAGAGAATGCTTCTTTCTAGCTTGTAGGGGAAGATATTCCCTTTATCACCATGGGCCTCAAACCGTCCGAAACGTCCACCTTCCATATACTACAAAAAGAGCGTTTCAAACCTGCTCTAGGAAAGGCAATGTTCAACTCTGTGACTTGAATGCAGACATCACAGAGCAGTTTCTGAGAATGCTTCTGTCCAGACTTTATAGGAAGATATTCCCGTTTCCAACGAAATCTTCACAGCTATCCAAATATCCACTTGCAGATACTACAAAAGAGTGTATCAAAAATGCTCTGTCAAAAGGAAAGTTCTTCTCTGCTAGTTGAGTACATACGTTATAAAGAAGTTTCTGAGAATGTTTCTGTCTAGTGGTTATGGGAAGATATTTGCTTTTTCCCCGTAGGCCTCAGAGCGCTCCAAATGTCCACTTGCACATGCTACAAAAAGAGTGCTTCAAAGCTGCTCTCTGAAAGGGAATGTTCAACTCTATGAGTTGAATGCAAACAACACAAAGACGTTTCTGAGAATGCTTCTGTCTAGATTTGATATGAAGATATTCCCGTTTCCAACGAAATCTTCAAATCTATCCAAATGTCCACTTGCAGATTCAACAAAAAGTGTTTTTCAGAACTGCTCTATCAAAAGAAAGATCCACCTCTGTTAGCTGAGTTCACACCTCACAAACAACTTTATGAGAATGCTTCTGTCTAGTTTTTATTTGAAGATATTTCCTTTCTCACCATAGACCTGAAAGCTGTCCTAATGTTCACTTCCAGATACTACAGAAAGAGTGTTTCAAAACTGCTGTACGAAAGGGAATGTTCAACTCTGTGACTTGAATGCACACATCAGAAAGAAGTTTCTGAGGATGCTGCTGTCTACGTTTTATACGTAATCCCGTTTCCAACGAAATCCTCCAAGCTATCCAAATATCCACTTGCAGATTCCACAGAAAGACTGTTTCAAAACTGCTCTGTCAATAGAAAGGTTCAACTCTGTTAACTGCGTGCATATATCCCAAAGAAGATTCTGAGATTGCTTCTGTCTAGTTTTTATGGGAAGATATTTCCCTTTTCACCGTAGGTGTCAAGGCGCTCCAAATGTCCACTTCCAGATACTACAAAAAGAGTGTTTCAAACCTACTCTATGAAAGGGAATATTCAACTCTGTGACTTAAAGGCAGATATCACAAAGAAGTTTCTGAGAATGCTTCTGTCGAGATTTTATATGAAGATATTCCCGTTCCCAACGAAATCCTCAAATCTATCCAAATATCCCCTCACAGATTCTACAAAAAGAGTGTTTCAAAACTGCTCTGTAAAAAGAAAGGTTCAACTCTGTTAGTTGAGTACACACATCACAAACAAGTTTCACAGAATGCTTCTTTCTAGCTTGTAGGGGAAGATATTCCCTTTATCACCATGGGCCTCAAACCATCCGAAAGGTCCACTTCAATATACTACAAAAAGAGCGTTTCAAACCTGCTCTAGGAAAGGGAATGTTCAACTCTGTGACTTGAATGCAGACATCACAGAGCAGTTTCTGAGAATGCTTCTGTCTAGATTTTATAGGAAGATATTCCCGTTTCCAACGAAACCTTCACAGCTATCCAAATATCCACTTGCAGATTCTACAAAAAGAGTGTATCAAAACTGCTCTGCCAAAAGGAAGGTTCTTCTCTGTTAGGTGAGTGCATACGTCATAAAGGAGTTTCTGAGAATGTTTCAGTCTAGTGGTTATGGGAAGATATTTGTTTTTTCCCCGTAGGACTCAGAGCGCTCCAAATATCCACTTGCACATACTACAAAAAGAGTGCTTCAAAGCTGCTCTCTGAAACGGAATGTTCAACTCTATGAGTTGAATGCAAACATCACAAAGACGTTTCTGAGAATGCTTCTGTCTAGATTTGATATGAAGATATTCCCGTTTCCAAAGAAATCTTCAAATCTATCCAAATGTCCTCTTGCAGATTCAACAAAAAGTGTTTTTCAGAACTGCTCTATCAAAAGAAAGATCCACGTGTGTTAGCTGAGTTCACACATCACGAACAAGTTTATGAGAATGCTTCTGTCTAGTTTTTATTTGAAGATATTTCCTTTCTCACCATAGACCTGAAACCTGTCCTAATGTTCACTTCCAGATACTACAGAAAGAGTGTTTCAAAACTGCTGTACGAAAGGGAATGTTCAACTCTGTGACTTGAATGCACACATCACAAAGAAGTTTCTGAGGATGCTGCTGTCTACTTTTTATACGTAATCCCGTTTCCAACGAAATCCTCCAAGCTATCCAAATATCCACTTGCAGATTCCACAGAAAGACTGTTTCAAAACTGCTCTGTCAATAGAAAGGTTCAACTCTGTGAGCTGCGTGCATATATCCCAAAGAAGATTCTGAGATTGCTTCTGTCTAGTTTTTATGGGAAGATATTTCCCTTTTCACCGTAGGTGTCAAGGCGCTCCAAATGTCCACTTCCAGATACTACAAAAAGAGTGTTTCAAACCTACTCTGTGAAAGGCAATATTCAACTCTGTGACTTGAATGCAGATATCACAAAGAAGTTTCTGAGAATGATTCTGTCGAGATTTTATATGAAGATATTCCCGTTTCCAACGAAATCCTGAAATCTATCCAAATATCCCCTTGCAGATTCTACAAAAAGAGTGTTTCAAAACTGCTCTGTGAAAAGAAAGGTTCAACTCTGTTAGTTGAGTACACACATCACAAACAAGTTTCACAGAATGCTTCTTTCTAGCTTGTAGGGGAAGATATTCCCTTTATCACCATGGGCCTCCAACCGTCCGAAACATCCACTTCCATATACTACAAAAAGAGCGTTTCAAACCTGCTCTAAGAAAGGCAATGTTCAACTCTGTGACTTGAATGCAGACATCACAGAGCAGTTTCTGAGAATGCTTCTGTCTAGATTTTATAGGAAGATATTCCCGTTTCCAATGAAATCTTCACAGCTATCCAAATATCCACTTGCAGATTCTACAAAAAGAGTGTATCAAAAATGCTCTGTCAAAAGGAAGGTTCTTCTCCGTTAGTTGAGTACATACGTCATAAAGGAGTTTCTGAGAATGTTTCTGTCTAGTGGTTATGGGAAGATATTTGCTTTTCCACCGTAGGCCTCAGAGCGCTCCAAATATCCACTTGCACATACTACAAAAAGAGTGCTTCAAAGCTGCTCTCTGAAACGGAATGTTCAACTCTATGAGTTGAATGCAAACATCACAAAGACGTTTCCGAGAATGCTTCTGTCTAGATTTGATATGAAGATATTCCCGTTTCCAACGAAATCTTCAAATCTATCCAAATGTCCACTTGCAGATTCAACAAAAAGTGTTTTTCAGAACTGCTCTATCAAAAGAAAGATCCACCTCTGTTATCTGAGTTCACACATCACAAACAAGTTTATGAGAATGCTTCTGTCTAGTTTTTATTTGAAGATATTTCCTTTCTCACCATAGACCTGAAAGCTGTCCTAATGTTCACTTCCAGATGAGTGTTTCACAGAAAGAGTGTTTCAAAACTGCTGTACGAAAGGGAATATTCAACTCTGTGACTTGAATGCACACATCACAAAGAAGTTTCTGAGGATGCTGCTGTCTACTTTTTATACGTAATCCCGTTTCCAACGAAATCCTCCAAGCTATCCAAATATCCACTTGCAGATTCCACAGAAAGACTGTTTCAAAACTGCTCTGTCAATGGAAAGGTTCAACTCTGTTAGCTGCGTGCATATATCCCAAAGAAGATTCTGAGATTGCTTCTGTCTAGTTTTTATGGGAAGATATTTCCCTTTTCACCGTAGGCGTCAAGGCGCTCCAAATGTCCACTTCCAGATATTACAAAAAGAGTGCTTCAAACCTTCTCTGTGAAAGGGAATATTCAACTCTGTGACTTGAATGCACATATCACAAAGAAGTTTCTGAGAATGCTTCTGTCGAGATTTTATCTGAAGATATTCCCGTTTCCAACGAAATCCTGAAATCTATCCAAATATCCCCTCGCAGATTCTACAGAAAGAGTGTTTCAAAACTGCTCTGTAAAAAGAAAGGTTCAACTCTGTTACTTGAGTACACACATCACAAACAAGTTTCACAGAATGCTTCTTTCTAGCTTGTAGGGGAAGATATTCCCTTTATCACCATGGGCCTCCAACCGTCCGAAACGTCCACTTCCATATACTACAAAAAGAGCGTTTCAAACCTGCTCTAGGAAAGGCAATGTTCAACTCTGTGACTTGAATGCAGACATCACAGAGCAGTTTCTGAGAATGCTTCTGTCTAGATTTTATAGGAAGATATTCCCGTTTCCAACGAAATCTTCACAGCTATCCAAATATCCCCTCGCAGATTCTACAAAAAGAGTGTATCAAAACTGCTCTGTCAAAAGGAAGGTTCTTCTCTGTTAGGTGAGTGCATACGTCATAAAGGAGTTTCTGAGAATGTTTCTGTCTAGTGGTTATGGGAAGATATTTGCTTTTTCACCTTAGGCCTCAGAGCGCTCCAAATATCCCCTTGCACATACTACAAAAAGAGTGCTTCAAAGCTGCTCTCTGAAAGGGAATCTTCAACTCTATGAGTTGAATGCCAACATCACAAAGACGTTTCTGAGAATGCTTCTGTCTAGATTTGATATGAAGATATTCCCGTTTCCAACGAAATCTTCAAATCTATCCAAATGTCCACTTGCAGATTCAACAAAAAGTGTTTTTCAGAACTGCTCTATCAAAAGAAAGATCCACCTCCGTTAGCTGAGTTCACACTTCACAAACAAGTTTATCAGAATGCTTCTGTCTAGTTTTTATTTGAATATATTTCCATTCTCACCATAGACCTGAAAGCTGTCCTAATGTTCACTTCCAGATACTACAGAAAGAGTGTTTCAAAACTGCTGTACGAAAGGGAATGTTCAACTCTGTGACTTGAATGCACACATCACAAAGAAGTTTCTGAGGATGCTGCTGTCTACTTTTTATACGTAATCCCATTTCCAACGAAATCCTCCAAGCTATCCAAATATCCACTTGCAGATTCCACAGAAAGACTGTTTCAAAACTGCTCTGTCAATAGAAAGGTTCAACTCTGTTAGCTGCGTGCATATATCCCAAAGAAGATTCTGAGATTGCTTCTGTCTAGTTTTTATGGGAAGATATTTCCCTTTTCACCGTAGGTGTCAAGGCGCTCCAAATGTCCACTTCCAGATACTACAAAAAGAGTGTTTCAAACCTACTCTGTGAAAGGGAATATTCAACTCTGTGACTTAAAGGCAGATATCACAAAGAAGTTTCTGATAATGCTTCTGTCTAGATTTTATATGAAGATATTCCCGTTTCCAACGAAATCCTGAAATCTCTCCAAATATCCCCTCGCAGATTCTACAAAAAGAGTGTTTCAAAACTGCTCTGTAAAAAGAAAGGTTCAACTCTGTTAGTTGAGTACACACATCACAAACAAGTTTCACAGAATGCTTCTTTCTAGCTTGTAGGGGAAGATATTCCCTTTATCACCATGGGCCTCAAACCGTCCGAAACGTCCACTTCCATATACTACAAAAAGAGCGTTTCAAACCTGCTCTAGGAAAGGCAATGTTCAACTCTGTGACTTGAATGCAGACATCACAGAGCAGTTTCTGAGAATGCTTTCTGTCTAGATTTTATAGGAAGATATTCCCGTTTCCAACGAAGTCTTCACAGCTATCCAAATATCCACTTGCAGATTCTACAAAAAGAGTGTATCAAAACTGCTCTGTCAAAAGGAAGGTTCTTTTCTGTTAGGTGAGTGCATACGTCATAAAGGAGTTTCTGAGAATGTTTCTGTCTAGTGGTTATGGGAAGATATTTGCTTTTTCCCCTTAGGACTAAGGGCGCTCCAAATGTCCACTTGCAGATGCTAGAAAAAGAGTGCTTCAAAGCTGCTCTCTGGAAGGGAATGTTCAACTCTATGAGTTGAATGCAAACATCACAAAGACGTTTCTGAGAATGCTACTGTCTAGATTTGATATAAAGTTATTCCCGTTTCCAACGAAATCTTCAAATCTATCCAAATGTCCACTTGCAGATTCAACAAAAAGTGTTTTTCCGAACTGCTCTATCAAAAGAAAGATCCACCTCTGTTAGCTGAGTTCACACATCACAAACAAGTTTATGAGAATGCTTCTGTCTAGTTTTTATTTGAAGATATTTCCTTTCTCACCATAGACCTCAAAGCTGTCCTAATGTTCACTTCCAGATACTACAGAAAGAGTGTTTCAAAACTGCTGTACGAAAGGGAATGTTCAACTCTGTGACTTGAATGCACACATCACAAAGAAGTTTCTGAGGATGCTGCTGTCTACCTTTTATACTTAATCCCGTTTCCAACGAAATCCTCCAAGCTATCCAAATATCCACTTGCAGATTCCACAGAAAGACTGTTTCAAAACTGCTCTGTCAATAGAAAGGTTCAACTCTGTTAGCTGCGTGCATATATCCCAAAGAAGATTCTGAGATTGCTTCTGTCTAGTTTTTATCGGAAGATATTTCCCTTTTCACCGTAGGTGTCAAGGTGCTCCAAATGTCCACTTCCAGATACTACAAAAAGAGTGTTTCAAACCTACTCTGTGAAAGGGAATATTCAACTCTGTGACTTGAATGCAGATATCACAAAGAAGTTTCTGAGAATGCTTCTGTCGAGATTTTAAATGAAGATATTCCCGTTTCCAACGAAATCCTGAAATCTATCCAAATATCCCCTCGCAGATTCTACAAAAAGAGTGTTTCTAAACTGCTCTGTAAAAAGAAAGGTTCAACTCTGTTAGTTGAGTATACACATCACAAACAAGTTTCACAGAATGCTTCTTTCTAGCTTGTAGGGGAAGATATTCCCTTTATCACCATGGGCCTCCAACCGTCCGAAACATCCACTTCCATATACTACAAAAAGAGCGTTTCAAACCTGCTCTACGAAAGGCAATGTTCAACTCTGTGACTTGAATGCAGACATCACAGAGCAGTTTCTGAGAATGCTTCTGTCTAGATTTTATAGGAAGATATTCCCTGTTTCCAACGAAATCTTCACAGCTATCCAAATATCCACTTGCAGATTCTACAAAAAGAGTGCATCAAAACTGCTCTGTCAAAAGGAAGGTTCTTCTCTGTTAGGTGAGTGCATACATCATAAAGGAGTTTCTGAGAATGTTTCTGTCTAGTGGTTATGGGAAGATATTTGCTTTTTCCCCGTAGGCCTCAGAGCGCTCCAAATATCCACTTGCACATACTACAAAAAGAGTGCCTCAAAGCTGCTCTCTGAAACGGAATGTTCAACTCTATGAGTTGAATGCAAACATCACAAAGACGTTTCTGAGAATGCTTCTGTCTAGATTTGATATGAAGATATTCCCGGTTCCAACGAAATCTTCAAATCTATCCAAATGTCCACTTGCAGATTCAACAAAAAGTGTTTTTCAGAACTGCTCTATCAAAAGAAAGATCCACCTCTGTTAGCTGAGTTCACACATCACAAACAAGTTTATGAGAATGCTTCTGTCTAGTTTTTATTTGAAGATATTTCCTTTCTCACCATAGACCTGAAAGCTGTCCTAATGTTCACTTCCAGTTACTACAGAAAGAGTGTTTCAAAACTGCTGTACGAAAGGGAATGTTCAACTCTGTGACTTGAATGCGCACATCACAAAGAAGTTTCTGAGGATGCTGCTGTCTACTTTTTATACGTAATCCCGTTTCCAACGAAATCCTCCAAGCTCTCCAAATATCCACTTGCAGATTCCACAGAAAGAGTGTTTCAAAACTGCTCTGTCAATAGAAAGGTTCAACTCTGTTAGCTGCGTGCATATATCCCAAAGAAGATTCTGAGATTGCTTCTGTCTAGTTTTTATGGGAAGATATTTCCCTTTTCACCGTAGGCGTCAAGGCGCTCCAAATGTCCACTTCCAGATACTACAAAAAGAGTGTTTCAAACCTACTCTGTGAAAGGGAATATTCAACTCTGTGACTTGAATGCACATATCACAAAGAAGTTTCTGAGAATGCTTTCTGTCGAGATTTTATATGAAGATATTCCCGTTTCCAACGAAATCCTGAAATCTATCCAAATATCCCCTCGCAGATTCTACAAAAAGAGTGTTTCAAAACTGCTCTGTAAAAAGAAAGGCTCTGTTAGTTGAGTGCACACATCACAAACAAGTTTCACAGAATGCTTCTTTCCAGCTTGTAGGGAAAGATATTCCCTTTAACACCATGGGCCTCAAACCGTCCGAAACGTCCACTTCCATATACTACAAAAAGAGCGTTTCAAACCTGCTCTAGGAAAAGCAATGTTCAACTCTGTGACTTGAATGCAGACATCACAGAGCAGTTTCTGAGAATGCTTCTGTCTAGATTTTATAAGAAGATATTCCCGTTTCCAACGAAATCTTCACAGCTATCCAAATATCCACTTGCAGATTCTACAAAAAGAGTGTATCAAAACTGCTCTGTCAAAAGGAAGGTTCTTCTCTGTTAGGTGAGTGCATACGTCATAAAGGAGTTTCTGAGAATGTTTCTGTCTAGTGGTTATGGGAAGATATTTGATTTTTCACCTTAGGCCACAGAGCGCTCCAAATATCCCCTTGCACATACTACAAAAAGAGTGCTTCAAAGCTGCTCTCTGAAAGGGAATGTTCAACTCTATGGGTTGAATGCAAACATCACAAAGACGTTTCTGAGAATGCTTCTGTCTAGATTTGATATGAAGATATTCCCGTTTCCAACGAAATCTTCAAATCTATCCAAATGTCCACTTGCAGATTCAACAAAAAATGTTTTTCAGAACTGCTCTATCAAAAGAAAGATCCACCTGTGTTAGCTGAGTTCACACATCACAAACAAGTTAATGAGAATGCTTCTGTCTTGTTTTTATTTGAAGATATTTCCTTTCTCACCATAGAGCTGAAAGCTGTCCTAATGTTCACTTCCAGATACTACAGAAAGAGTGTTTGAAAACTGCTGTACGAAAGGGAATGTTCAACTCTGTGACTTGAATGCACACATCACAAAGAAGTTTCTGAGGATGCTGCTGTCTACTTTTTATACGTAATCCCGTTTCCAACGAAATCCTCCAAGCTATCCAAATATCCACTTGCAGATTCCACAGAAAGACTGTTTCAAAACTGCTCTGTCAATAGAAAGGTTCAACTCTGTTAGCCTGCGTGCATATATCCCAAAGAAGATTCTGAGATTGCTTCTGTCTACTTTTTATGAGAAGATATTTCCCTTTTCACCGTAGGCGTCAAGGCGCTCCAAATGTCCACTTCCAGATACTACAAAAGGAGTGTTTCAAACCTACTCTGTGAAAGGGAATATTCAACTCTGTGACTTGAATGCACATATCACAAAGAAGTTTCTGAGAATGCTTCTGTCGAGATTTTATATGAAGATATTCCCCTTTCCAAAGAAATCCTGAAATCTATCCAAATATCCCCTCGCAGATTCTACAAAAAGAGTGTTTCAAAACTGCTCTGTAAAAAGAAAGGTTCAACTCTGTTAGTTGAGTACACACATCACAAACAAGTTTCACAGAATGCTTCTTTCTAGCTTGTAGGGGAAGATATTCCCTTTATCACCATGGGCCTCAAACCGTCCGAAACGTCCACTTCCATATACTACAAAAAGAGCGTTTCAAACCTGCTCTATGAAAGGCAATGTTCAACTCTGTGACTTGAATGCAGACATCACAGAGCAGTTTACTGAGAATGCTTCTGTCCAGACTTTATAGGAAGATATTCCCGTTTCCAACGAAATCTTCACAGCTATCCAAATATCCACTTGCAGATACTAGAAAAAGAATGTATCAAAAATGCTCTGTCAAAAGGAAAGTTCTTCTCTGCTACTTGAGTACATACGTCATAAAGAAGTTTCTGAGAATGTTTCTGTCTAGTGGTTATGGGAAGATATTTGCTTTTTCACCTTAGGCCTCAGAGCGCTCCAAATATCCACTTGCACATACTACAAAAAGAGTGCCTCAAAGCTGCTCTTTGAAACGGAATGTTCAACTCTATGAGTTGAATGCAAACATCACAAAGACGTTTCTGAGAATGCTTCTGTCTAGATTTGATATGAAGATATTCCCGTTTCCAACGAAATCTTCAAATCTATCCAAATGTCCACTTGCAGATTCAACAAAAAGCGTTTTTAGTACTGCTCTATCAGAAGAAAGATCCACCTCTGTTAGCTGAGTTCAGACATCACAAACAAGTTTATGAGAATGCTTCTGTCTAGTTTTTATTTGAAGATATTTCCTTTTTCACCATAGAGCTGAAAGCTGTCCTAATGTTCACTTCCAGTTACTACAGAAAGAGTGTTTCAAAACTGCTGTACGAAAAGGAATGTTCAACTCTGTGACTTGAATGCACACATCACAAAGAAGTTTCTGAGGATGCTGCTGGCTACTTTGTATACGTAATCCCGTTTCCAACGAAATCCTCCAAGCTATCCAAATATCCACTTGCAGATTCCACAGAAAGACTGTTTCAAAACTGCTCTGTCAATAGAAAGGTTCAACTCTGTTAGCTGCGTGCATATATCCCAAAGAAGATTCTGAGATTGCTTCTGTCTAATTTTTATGGGAAGATATTTCCCTTTTCACCGTAGGTGTCAAGGCGCTCCAAATGTCCACTTCCAGATACTACAAAAAGAGTGTTTCAAACCTACTCTGTGAAAGGGAATATTCAACTCTGTGACTTGAATGCACATATCACAAAGAAGTTTCTGAGAATGCTTCTGTCGAGATTTTATGTGAAGATACTCCCGTTTCCAACGAAATCCTGAAATCTATCCAAATATCCCCTCGCAGATTCTACAAAAAGAGTGTTTCAAAACTGCTCTGTAAAAAGAAAGGTTCAACTCTGTTAGTTGAGTACACACATCACAAACAAGTTTCACAGAATGTTTCTTTCTAGCTTGTAGGGGAAGATATTCCCTTTATCACCACGGGCCTCCAACCGTCCGAAACATCCACTTCCATATACTACAAAAAGAGCGTTTCAAACCTGCTCTATGAAAGGCAATGTTCAACTCTGTGACTTGAATGCAGACATCACAGAGCAGTTTCTGAGAATGCTTCTGTCTAGATTTTATAGGAAGATATTCCCGTTTCCAACGAAATCTTCACAGCTATCCAAATATCCACTTGCAGATCCTACAAAAAGAGTGTATCAAAACTGCTCTGTCAAAAGGAAGGTTCTTCTCTGTTAGGTGAGTGCATACGTCATACAGGAGTTTCTGAGAATGTTTCTGTCTAGTGGTTATGGGAAGATATTTGCTTTTTCACCGAAGGCCTCAGAGCGCTCCAAATATCCACTTGCACATACTACAAAAAGAGTGCCTCAAAGCTGCTCTCTGAAACGGAATGTTCAACTCTATGAGTTGAATGCAAACATCACAACGACGTTTCTGAGAATGCTTCTGTCTAGATTTGATATGAAGATATTCCCGTTTCCAACGAAATCTTCAAATCTATCCAAATGTCCACTTGCAGATTCAACAAAAAGTGTTTTTCAGAACTGCTCTATCAAAAGAAACATCCACCTCTGTTAGCTGAGTTCTCACATCACAAACAAGTTTATGAGAATGCTTCTGTCTAGTTTTTATTTGAAGATATTTCCTTTCTCACCATAGATCTGAAAGCTGTTCTAATGTTCACTTCCATATGCTACAGAAAGAGTGTTTCAAAACTGCTGTACGAAAGGGAATGTTCAACTCTGTGACTTGAATGCACACATCACAAAGAAGTTTCTGAGGATGCTGCTGTCTACTTTTTATACGTAATCCCGTTTCCAACGAAATCCTCCAAGCTATCCAAATATCCACATGCAGATTCCAGAGAAAGACTGTTTCAAAACTGCTCTGTCAATAGAAAGGTTCAACTCTGTTAGCTGCGTGCATATATCCCAAAGAAGATTCTGAGATTGCTTCTGTCTAGTTTTTATGGGAAGATATTTCCCTTTTCACCGTAGGCGTCAAGGCGCTCCAAATGTACACTTCCAGATACTACAAAAGAGTGTTTCAAACCTACACTGTGAAAGGGAATATTCAACTCTGTGACTTGAATGCAGATATCACAAAGAAGTTTCTGAGAATGCTTCTGTCGAGATTTTATATGAAGATATTCCCGTTTCCAACGAAATCCTGAAATCTATCCATATATCCCCTCGCAGATTCTACAAAAAGAGTGTTTCAAAACTGCTCTGTAAAAAGAAAGGTTCAACTCTGTTAGTTGAGTACACACATCACAAACAAGTTTCACAGAATGCTTCTTTCTAGCTTGTAGGGGAAGATATTCCCTTTATCACCATGGGCCTCAAACCGTCCGAAACGTCCACTTTTATATACTACAAAAAGAGCGTTTCAAACCGGCTCTATGAAAGGCAATGTTCAACTCTGTGACTTGAATGCAGACATCACAGAGCTGTTTCTGAGAATGCTTCTGTCTAGATTTTATAGGAAGATATTCCCGTTTCCAACGAAATCTTCACAGCTATCCAAATATCCACTTGCAGATTCTACAAAAAGAGTGCATCAAAACTGCTCTGTCAAAAGGAAGGTTCTTCTCTGTTAGTTGAGTACATACGTCATAAAGGAGTTTCTGAGAATGTTTCTGTCTAGTGGTTATGGGAAGATATTTGCTTTTTCACCGTAGGCCTCAGAGCGCTCCAAATATCCACTTGCACATACTACAAAAAGAGTGCCTCAAAGCTGCTCTCTGAAACGGAATGTTCAACTCTATGAGTTGAATGCAAACATCACAACGACGTTTCTGAGAATGCTTCTGTCTAGATTTGATATGAAGATATTCCCGTTTCCAACGAAATCTTCAAATCTATTCAAATGTCCACTTGCAGATTCCACAAAAAGTGTTTTTCAGAACTGCTCTATCAAAAGAAAGATCCACCTCTGTTAGCTGAGTTCACACATCACAAACAAGTTTATGAGAATGCTTCTGTCTAGTTTTTATCTGAAGATATTTCCTTTCTCACCATAGAGCTGAAAGCTGTCCTAATGTTCACTTCCAGATACTACAGAAAGAGTGTTTCAAAACTGCTGTACGAAAGGGAATGTTCAACTGTGTGACTTGAATGCACACATCACAAAGAAGTTTCTGAGGATGCTGCTGTCTACTTTTTATACGTAATCCCGTTTCCAACGAAATCCTCCAAGCTATCCAAATATCCACTTGCAGATTCCACAGAAAGACTGTTTGAAAACTGCTCTGTCAATAGAAAGGTTCAACTCTGTTAGCTGCGTGCATATATCCCAAAGAAGATTCTGAGATTGCTTCTGTCTAGTTTTTATGGGAAGATATTTCCCTTTTCACCGTAGGTGTCAAGGCGCTCCAAATGTCCACTTCCAGATACTACAAAAAGAGTGTTTCAAACCTACTCTGAGAAAGGGAATATTCAACTCTGTGACTTGAAGGCAGATATCACAAAGAAGTTTCTGAGAATGCTTCTGTCGCGATTTTATATGAAGATATTCCCGTTTCCAACAAAATCCTGAAATCTATCCAAATATCTCCTCGCAGATTCTACAAAAAGAGTGTTTCAAAACTGCTCTGTAAAAAGAAAGGTTCAACTCTGTTAGTTGAGTACACACATCACAAACAAGTTTCACAGAATGCTTCTTTCTAGCTTGTAGGGGAAGATATTCCCTTTATCACCATGGGCCTCAGACCGTCCGAAACGTCCACTTCCATATACTTCAAAAAGAGGGTTTCAAACCTGCTCTATGAAAGGCAATGTTCAACTCTGTGACTTGAATGCAGACATCACAGAGCAGTTTCTGAGAATGCTTCTGTCTAGATTTTATAGGAAGATATTTCCGTTTCCAACGAAACCTTCACAGCTATCCAAATATCCACTTGGAGATTCTACAAAAAGAGTGTATCAAAACTGCTCTGTCAAAAGGAAGGTTCTTCTCTGTTAGGTGAGTGCATACGTCATAAAGGAGTTTCTGAGAATGTTTCTGTCTAGTGGTTATGGTAAGATATTTGCTTTTTCACCGTAGGCCTCAGAGCGCTCCAAATATCCACTTGCACATACTACAAAAAGAGTGCTTCAAAGCTGCTCTCTGAAACGGAATGTTCAACTCTATGAGTTGAATGCAAACATCACAAAGACGTTTCTGAGAATGCTTCTGTCTAGATTTGATATGAAGATATTCCCGTTTCCAACGAAATCTTCAAATCTATCCAAATATCCACTTGCAGATTCAACAAAAAGTGTTTTTCAGAACTGCTCTATCAAAAGAAAGATCCACCTCTGTTAGCTGAGTTTACACATCACAAACAAGTTTATGAGAATGCTTCTGTCTAGTTTTTATTTGAAGATATTTCCTTTCTCACCATAGACCTGAAAGCTGTCCTAATGTTCACTTCCAGATACTACAGAAAGAGTGTTTCAAAACTGCTGTACGAAAGGGAATGTTCAACTCTGTGACTTGAATGCACACATCACAAAGAAGTTTCTGAGGATTCTCTGTCTACTTTTTATACGTAATCCCGTTTCCAACGAAATCCTCCAAGCTATCCAAATATCCACTTGCAGATTCCACAGAAAGAATGTTTCAAAACTGCTCTGTCAATAGAAAGGTTCAACTCTGTTAGCTGCGTGCATATATCCCAAAGAAGATTCTGAGATTGCTTGCTGTCTAGTTTTTATGGGAAGATATTTCCCTTTTCACCGTAGGCGTCAAGGCGCTCCAAATGTCCACTTCCAGATACTACAAAAAGAGTGTTTCAAACCTACTCTGTGAAAGGGAATATTCAACTCTGTGACTTGAATGCAGATATCACAAAGAAGTTTCTGAGAATGCTTCTGTCGAGATTTTATATGAAGATATTCCCGTTTCCAACGAAATCCTGAAATCTATCCAAATATCCCCTCGCAGATTCTACGAAAAGAGTGTTTCAAAACTGCTCTGTAAAAAGAAAGGTTCAACTCTGTTAGTTGAGTACACACCTCACAAACAAGTTTCACAGAATGCTTCTTTCTAGCTTGTAGGGGAAGATATTCCCTTTATCACCATCGGCCTCAAACCGTCTGAAACGTCCACTTCCATATACTACAAAAAGAGCATTTCAAACCTGCTCTATGAAAGGCAATGTTCAACTCTGTGACTTGAATGCAGACATCACAGAGCAGTTTCTGAGAATGCTTCTGTCTAGATTTTATAGGAAGATATTCCCGTTTCCAACGAAATCTTCACAGCTATCCAAATATCCACTTGCAGATTCTACAAAAAGAGTGTATCAAAACTGCTCTGTCAAAAGGAAGGTTCTTCTCTGTTAGGTGAGTGCATACGTCATAAAGGAGTTTCTTAGAATGTTTCTGTCTAGTGGTTATGGGAAGATATTTGCTTTTTCCCCGTAGGCCTCAGGGCGCTCCAAATGTCCACTTGCACATGCTACAAAAAGAGTGCTTCAAAGCTGGTCTCTGAAAGGGAATGTTCAACTCTATGAGTTGAATGCAAACATCACAAAGACGTTTCTGAGAATGCTTCTGTCTAGATTTGATATGAAGATATTCCCGTTTCCAAAGCAAATCTTCAAACCTATCCAAATGTCCACTTGCAGATTCAACAAAAAGTGTTTTTCAGAACTGCTCTATCAAAAGAAAGATCCACGTCTCTTAGCTGAGTTCACACATCACAAACAAGTTTATGAGAATGCTTCTGTCTAGTTTTTATTTGAAGATATTTCCTTTCTCACCATAGACCTGAAAGCTGACCTAATGTTCACTTCCAGATACTACAGAAAGAGTGTTTCAAAACTGCTGTACGAAAGGTGATGTTCAACTCTGTGACTTGAATGCACACATCACAAAGAAGTTTCTGAGGATGCTGCTGTCTACTTCTTATACGTAATCCCGTTTCCAACGAAATCCTCCAAGCTATCCAAATATCCACTTGCAGATTCCACAGAAAGACTGTTTCAAAACTGCTATGTCAATAGAAAGGTTCAACTCTGTTAGCTGTGTGCATATATCCCAAAGAAAATTCTGAGATTGCTTCTGTCTAGTATTTATGGGAAGATATTTCCCTTTTCACTGTAGGTGTCAAGGAGCTCCAAATGTCCACTTCCAGATACTACAAAAAGAGTGTTTCAAACCTACTCTGCGAAAGGGAATATTCAACTCTGTGACTTGAAGGCAGATATCACAAAGAAGTTTCTGAGAATGCTTCTGTCGAGATTTTCTATGAAGATATTCCCGTTTGCAACGAAATCCTGAAATCTATCCAAATATCCCCTCGCAGATTCTACAAAAAGAGTGTTTCAAAACTGCTCTGTAAAAAGAAAGGTTCAACTCTGTTAGTTGAGTACACACATCACAAACAAGTTTCACAGAATGCTTCCTTCTAGCTTGTAGGGGAAGATATTCCCTTTATCACCATGGGCCTCAAACCGTCCGAAACTTCCACTTCCATATACTACAAAAAGAGCGTTTCAAACCTGCTCTAGGAAAGGCAATGTTCAACTCTGTGACTTGAATGCAGACATCACAGAGCAGTTTCTGAGAATGCTTCTGTCTAGATATTATAGGAAGATATTCCCGTTTCCAACGAAATCTTCACAGCTATCAAAATATCCACTTGCAGATTCTACAAAAAGAGTGTATCAAAACTGCTCTGTCAAAAGGAAGGTTCTTCTCTGTTAGGTGAGTGCATACGTCATAAAGGAGTTTCTGAGAATGTTTCTGTGTAGTGGTTATGGGAAGATATTTGCTTTTTCCCCGTAGGCCTCAGGGCGCTCCAAATGTCCACTTGCACATGCTACAAAAAGAGTGCTTCAAAGCTGCTCTCTGAAAGGGAATGTTCAACTCTATGAGTTGAATGCAAACATCACAAAGACGTTTCTGAGAATGCTCTGTCTAGATTTGATATGAAGATATTCCCGTTTCCAACGAAATCTTCAAATCTATCCAAATGTCCACTTGCAGATTCAACAAAAAGTGTTTTTCAGAACTGCTCTATCAAAAGAAAGATCCACCTCTGTTAGCTGAGTTCACACATCACAAACAAGTTTATGAGAATGCTTTCTGTCTAGTTTTTATTTGAAGATATTTCCTTTCTCACCATAGACCTGAAAGCTGTCCTAATGTTCTCTTCCAGATGCTACAGAAAAAGTGTTTCAAAACTGCTGTACGAAAGGGAATGTTCAATTCTGTGACTTGAATGCACACATCACAAAGAAGTTTCTGAGGATGCGGCTGTCTAGTTTTTATACGTAATCCCGTTTCCAACGAAATCCTCCAAGCTATCCAAATATCCACTTGCAGATTCCACAGAAAGACTGTTTCAAAACTGCTCTGTCAATAGAAAGGTTCAACTCTGTTAGCTGCGTGCATATATCCCAAAGAAGATTCTGAGATTGCTTCTGTCGAGATTTTATATGAAGATATTCCCGTTTCCAATGAAATCCTGAAATCTATCCAAATATCCCCTCGCAGATTCTACAAAAAGAGTGTTTCAAAACTGCTCTGTAAAAAGAAAGGTTCAACTCTGTTAATTGAGTACACACATCACAAACAAGTTTCACAGAATGCTTCTTTCTAGCTTGTAGGGGAAGATATTCCCTTTATCACCATGGGCCTCAAACCGTCCGAAAAGTCCACTTCCATATACTACAAAAAGAGCATTTCAAACCTGCTCTATGAAAGGCAATGTTCAACTCTGTGACTTGAATACAGACATCACAGAGCAGTTTCTGAGAATGCTTCTGTCTAGATTTTATAGGAAGATATTCCCGTTTCCAACGAAATCTTCACAGCTATCCAAATATCCACTTGCAGATTCTACAAAAAGAGTGTATCAGAACTGCTCTGTCAAAAGGAAGGTTCTTCTCTGTTAGGTGAGTGCATACGTCATAAAGGAGTTTCTGAGAATGTTTCTGTCTAGTGGTTATGGGAAGATATTTGCTTTTTCACTGTAGGCCTCAGAGCGCTCCAAATATCCACTTGCACATACTACAAAAAGAGTGCTTCAAAGCTGCTCTCTGAAACGGAATGTTCAACTCTATGAGTTGAATGCAAACATCACAAAGACGTTTCTGAGAATGCTTCTGTCTAGATTTGATATGAAGATATTCCCGTTTCCAACGAAATCTACAAATCTATCCAAATGTCCACTTGCAGATTCAACAAAAAGTGTTTTTCAGAACTGCTCTATCAAAAGAAAGGTCCACCTCTGTTAGCTGAGTTCACACATCACAAACAAGTTTATGAGAATGCTTCTGTCTAGTTTTTATTTGAAGATATTTCCTTTCTCACCATAGACCTGAAAGCTGTCCTAATGTTCACTTCCAGATACTACAGAAAGAGTGTTTCAAAACTGCTGTACGAAAGGGAATGTTCAACTCTGGGAGTTGAATGCATACATCACAAAGAAGTTTCTGAGGATGCTGCTGTCTACTTTTTATACGTAATCCCATTTCCAACGAAATCCTCCAAGCTATCCAAATATCCACTTGCAGATTCCACAGAAAGACTGTTTCAAAACTGCTATGTCAATAGAAAAGTTCAACTCAGTTAGCTGTGTGCATATATCCCAAAGAAAATTCTGAGATTGCTTCTGTCTAGTTTTTATGGGAAGATATTTCCATTTTCACCGTAGGCGTCAAGGCACTCCAAATGTCCACTTCCAGATACTACAAAAAGAGTGTTTCAAACCTACTCTGTGAAAGGGAATATTCAACTCTGTGACTTGAAGGCAGATATGACAAAGAAGTTTCTGAGAATGCTTCTGTCGAGATTTTATATGAAGATATTCCCGTTTCCAACGAAATGCTGAAATGTATCCAAATATCCCCTCGCAGATTCTACAAAAAGAGTGTTTCAAAACTGCTCTGTAAAAAGAAAGGTTCAACTCTGTTAGTTGAGTACACACATCACAAACAAGTTTCAAACAATGCTCTTTCTAGCTTGTAGGGGAAGATATTCCCTTTATCACCATGGGCCTCAAACCGTCCGAAACGTCCACTTCCATATACTACAAAAAGAGCGTTTCAAACCTGCTCTAGGAAAGGCAATGTTCAACTCTGTGACTTGAATGCAGACATCACATAGCAGTTTCTGAGAATGCTTTCTGTCTAGATTTTATAGGAAGATATTCCCGTTTCCAGCAAAATCTTCACAGCTATCCAAATATCCACTTGCAGATTCTACAAAAAGAGTGTATCAAAACTGATCTGTCAAATGGAAGGTTCTTCTCTGTTAGGTGAGTGCATACGTCATAAACGAGTTTCTGAGAATGTTTCTGTCTAGTGGTTATGGGAAGATATTTGCTTTTTCACCGTAGGCCTCAGAGCGCTCCAAATATCCACTTGCACATACTACAAAAAGAGTGCCTCAAAGCTGCTCTTTGAAACGGAATGTTCAACTCTATGAGTTGAATGCAAACATCACAAAGACGTTTCCTGAGAATGCTTCTGTCTAGATTTGATATGAAGATATTCCCGTTTCCAACGAAATCTTCAAATCTATCCAAATGTCCACTTGCAGATTCAAAAAAAAGTGTTTTTCAGAACTGCTCTATCAAAAGAAAGATCCACCTCTGTTAGCTGAGTTCACACATCACAAACAAGTTTATGAAAATGCTTCTGTCTAGTTTTTATTTGAAGATATTTCCTTTCTCACCATAGAGCTGAAAGCTGTCCTAATGTTCACTTCCAGATACTACAGAAAGAGTGTTTCAAAACTGCTGTACGAAAGGGAATGTTCAACTCTGTGACTTGAATGCACACATCACAAAGAAGTTTCAGAGGATGCTGCTGTCTACTTTTTATACGTAATCCCGTTTCCAACGAAATCCTCCAAGCTATCCAAATATCCACTTGCAGATTCCACAGAAAGACTGTTTCAAAACTGCTCTGTCAATAGAAAGGTTCAACTCTGTTAGCTGCGTGCATATATCCCAAAGAAGATTCTCAGATTGCTTCTGTCTAGTTTTTATGGGAAGATATTTCCCTTTTCACCGTAGGTGTCAAGGCGCTCCAAATGTCCACTTCCAGATACTACAAAAAGAGTGTTTCTAACCTACTCTGTGAAAGGGAATATTCAACTCTGTGACTCGAATGCACATATCACAAAGAAGTTTCTGAGAATGCTTCTGTCGAGATTTTATATGAAGATATTCCCGTTTCCATCGAAATCCTGAAATCTATCCAAATATCCCCTCGCAGATTCTACAAAAAGAGTGTTTCAAAACTGCTCTGTAAAAAGAAAGGTTCAACTCTGTTAGTTGACTACACACATCACAAACAAGTTTCACACAATGCTTCTTTCTAGCTTGTAGGGGAAGATATTCCCTTTATCACCATGGGCCTCCAACCGTCCGAAACATCCACTTACATATACTACAAAAAGAGCGTTTCAAACCTGCTCTATGAAAGGCAATGTTCAACTCTGTGACTTGAATACAGATATCACAGAGCAGTTTCTGAAAATGCTTCTGTCTAGATTTTATAGGAAGATATTCCCGTTTCCAACGAAATCTTCACAGCTATCCAAATATCCACTTGCAGATTCTACAAAAAGAGTGTATCAAAACTGCTCTGTCAAAACGAAGGTTCTTCTCTGTTAGGTGAGTGCATACGTCATAGAGGAGTTTCTGAGAATGTTTCTGTCTAGTGGTTATGGGAAGATATTTGCTTTTTCACCGTAGGCCTCAGAGTGCTCCAAATATCCGCTTGCACATACTACAAAAAGAGTGCTTCAAAGCTGCTCTCTGAAACGGAATGTTCAACTCTATGAGTTGAATGCAAACATGACAAAGACGTTTCTGAGAATGCTTCTCTCTAGATTTCATATGAAGATATTCCCGTTTCCAAAGAAATCTTCAAATCTATCCAAATGTCCACTTGCAGATTCAACAAAAAGTGTTTTTCAGAACTGCTCTATCAAAAGAAAGATCCACGTCTCTTAGCTGAGTTCACACATCACAAACAAGTTTATGAGAATGCTTCTGTCTAGTTTTTATTTGAAGATATTTCCTTTCTCACCATAGACCGGAAAGCTGTCCTAATGTTCACTTCCAGATACTACAGAAAGAGTGTTTCAAAACTGCTGTACGAAAGGGAATGTTCAACTCTGTGACTTGAATGCACACATCACAAAGATGTTTCTGAGGATGCTGCTGTCTACTTTTTATACGTAATCCCGTTTCCAACGAAATCCTCCAAGCTATCCAAATATCCACTTCCAGATTCCACAGAAAGACTGTTTCAAAACTGCTCTGTCAATAGAAAGGTTCAACTCTATTAGCTGCGTACATATATCCCAAAGAAGATTCTGAGATTGCTTCTGTCTAGTTTTTATGGGAAGATATTTCCCTTTTCACCGTAGGCGTCAAGGCGCTCCAAATGTCCACTTCCAGATACTACAAAAAGAGTGTTTCAAACCTACTCTGTGAAAGGGAATATTCAACGGTGTGACTAGAATGCACGTATCACAAAGAAGTTTCTGAGAATGCTTCTGTCGAGATTTTATATGAAGATATTCCCGTTTCCAACGAAATCCTGAAATCTATCCAAATATCCCCTCGCAGATTCTACAAAAAGAGTGTTTCAAAACTGCTCTGTGAAAAGAAAGGTTCAACTCTGTTAGTTGAGTACACACATCACAAACAAGTTTCACAGAATGCTTTCTTTCTAGCTTGTAGGGGAAGATATTCCCTTTATCACCATGGGCCTCAAACCATCCGAAACGTCCACTTCCATATACTACAAAAAGAGCGTTTCAAACCTGCTCTATGAAAGGCAATGTTCAGCTCTGTGACTTGAATGCAGACATCACAGAGCAGTTTCTGAGAATGCTTCTGTCTAGATTTTATAGGAAGATATTCCCGTTTCCAACGAAATCTTCGCAGCTATCCAAATATCCACTTGCAGATTCTACAAAAAGAGTGTATCAAAACTGCTCTGTCAAAAGGAAGGTTCTTCTCTGTTAGGTGAGTGCATACGTCATAAAGGAGTTTCTGAGAATGTTTCTGTCTAGTGGTTATGGGAAGATATTTGCTTTTTCCCCGTAGGCCTCAGGGCCCTCCAAATGTCCACTTGCACATGCTACAAAAAGAGTGCTTCAAAGCTGCTCTCTGAAAGGGAATGTTCAACTCTATGAGTTGAATGCAAACATCGGAAAGACGTTTCTGAGAATGCTTCTGTCTAGATTTGAAATGAAGTTATTCCCGTTTCCAACGAAATCTTCAAATCTATCCAAATGTCCAATTGCAGATTCAACAAAAAGTGTTTTTCAGAACTGCTCTATCAAAAGAAAGATCCACCTCGGTTAGCTGAGTTCACACATCACAAAGAAGTTTATGAGAATGCTTCTGTCTAGTTTTTATTTGAAGATATTTCCTTTCTCACCATAGACCTGAAAGCTGTCCTAATGTTCACTTCCAGATACTACAGAAAGAGTGTTTCAAAACTGATGTACAAAAGGGAATGTTCAACTCTGTGACTTGAATGCACACATCACAAAGAAGTTTCTGAGGATGCTGCTGTCTACTTTTTATACGTAATCCCGTTTCCAACGAAAATCCTCCAAGCTATACAAATATCCACTTGCAGATTCCACAGAAAGACTGTTTCAAAACTGCTCTGTCAATAGAAAGGTTCAACTCTGTTAGCTGCGTGCATATATCCCAAAGAAGATTCTGAGATTGCTTCTGTCTAGTTTTTATGGGAAGATATTTCCGTTTTCACTGTAGGCGTCAAGGCGCTCCAAATGTCCACTTCCAGATACTACAAAAAGAGTGTTTCAAACCTACTCTGTGAAAGGGAATATTCAACTCTGTGACTTGAATGCACATATCACAAAGAAGTTTCTGAGAATGCTTCTGTCGAGATTTTATATGAAGATATTCCCCTTTCCAACGAAATCCTGAAATCTATCCAAATATGCCCTCGCAGATTCTACAAAAAGAGTGTTTCAAAACTGCTCTGTAAAAAGAAAGGTTCAACTCTGTGAGTTGAGTACACACATCACAAACAAGTTTCACAGAATGCTTCTTTCTAGCTTGTAGGGGAAGATATTCCCTTTATCACCATGGTCCTCAAACCGTCCGAAACGTCCTCTTCCATATAGTACAAAAAGAGCGTTTCAAACCTGCTCTATGAAAGGCAATGTTCAATTCTGTGACTTGAATGCAGACATCACAGCGCAGTTTCTGAGAATGCTTCTGTCTAGATTTTATAGGAAGATATTCCCGTTTCCAGCGAAATCTTCACAGCTATCCAAATATCCACTTGCAGATTCTACAAAAAGAGTGTATCAAAACTGCTCTGTCAAATGGAAGGTTCTTCTCTGTTAGGTGAGTGCATACGTCATAAAGGAGTTTCTGAGAATGTTTCTGTCTAGTGGTTATGGGAAGATATTTGCTTTTTCACCGTAGGCCTCAGGGCGCTCCAAATTTTCTCTTGCACATACTACAAAAAGAGTGCTTCAAAGCTGCTCTCTGAAAGGGAATGTTCAACTCTATGAGTTGAATGCAAACATCACAAAGACGTTTCTGAGAATGCTTCTGTCTAGATTTGATATGAAGATATTCCCGTTTCCAACGAAATCTTCAAATATATCCAAATGTCCACTTGCAGATTCAACAAAAGTGATTTTCAGAACTGCTCTATCAAAAGAAAGATCCACGTGTGTTAGCTGAGTTCACACATCACAAACAAGTTTATGAGAATGCTTCTGTCTAGTTTTTATTTGAAGATATTTCCTTTCTCACCATAGAGCTGAAAGCTGTCTTAATTTTCACTTCCAGATACTACAGAAAGAGTGTTTCAAAACTGCTGTACGAAAGGGAATATTCAACTCTGTGACTTGAATGCACACATCACAAAGAAGTTTCTGAGGATGCTGCTGTCTACTTTTTATACGTAATCCGGTTTCCAACGAAATCCTCCAAGCTATCCAAATATCCACTTGCAGATTCCACAGAAAGACTGTTTCAAAACTGCTATGTCAATAGAAAAGTTCAACTCTGTTAGCTGTGTGCATATATCCCAAAGAAAATTCTGAGATTGCTTCTGTCTAGTTTTTATGGGAAGATATTTCCCTTTTCACCGTAGGTGTCAAGGCGCTCCAAATGTCCACTTCCAGATACTACAAAAAGAGTGTTTCAAACCTACTCTGTGAAAAGGAATATTCAACTCTGTGACTTTAATGCACATATCACAAAGAAGTTTCTGAGAATGCTTCTGTCGAGATTTTATATGAAGATATTCCCGTTTCCAAAGAAATCCTGAAATCTATCCAAATATCCCTTCACAGATTCTACAAAAAGAGTGTTTCAAAACTGCTCTGTAAAAAGAAAGGTTCAACTCTGTTAGTTGAGTACACACATCACAAACAAGTTTCACAGAATGCTTCTTTCTAGCTTGTAGGGGAAGATATTCCCTTTATCACCATGGGCCTCAAACCGTCCGAAACGTCAACTTCCATATACTACAAAAAGAGCGTTTCAAACCTGCTCTATGAAAGGCAATGTTCAACTCTGTGACTTGAATGCAGACATCACAGTAGCAGTTTCTGAGAATGCTTCTGTCTAGATTTTATAGGAAGATATTCCCGTTTCCAACGAAATCTTCACAGCTATCCAAATATCCACTTTCAGATTCTACAAAAAGAGTGTATCAAAACTGCTCTGTCAAAAGGAAGGTTCTTCTCTGTTAGGTGAGTGCATACGTCATAAAGGAGTTTCTGAGAATGTTTCTGTCTAGTGGTTATGGGAAGATATTTGCTTTTTCACCGTAGGCCTCAGAGCGCTCCAAATATCCACTTGCAGATACTACAAAAAGAGTGCTTCAAAGCTGCTCTCTGAAACGGAATGTTCAACTCTATGAGTTGAATGCAAACATCACAAAGACGTTTCTGAGAATGCTTCTGTCTAGATTTGATATCAAGATATTCCCGTTTCCAACGAAATCTTCAAATCTATCCAAATGTCCACTTGCAGATTCAACAAAAAGTGTTTTTCAAAACTGCTGTATCAAAAGAAAGATCCACGTCTGTTAGCTGAGTTCACACATCACAAACAAGTTTATGAGAATGCTTCTGTCTAGTTTTTATTTGAAGATATATCCTTTCTCACCATAGACCTGAAAGCTGTCCTAATGCTCACTTCCAGATACTACAGAAAGAGTGTTTCAAAACTGCTGTACGAAAGGGAATGTTCAACTCTGTGACTTGAATGCACACATCACAAAGAAGTTTCTGAGGATGCTGCTGTCTACTTTTTATATGTAATCCCGTTTCCAACGAAATCCTCCAATCTATCCAAATATCCACTTGCAGATTCCACAGAAAGACTGTTTCAAAACTGCTCTGTCAATAGAAAGGTTCAACTCTGTTAGCTGCGTGCATATATCCCAAAGAAGATTCTGAGATTGCTTCTGTCTAGTTTTTATGGGAAGATATTTCCCTTTTCACCGTAGGCGTCAAGGCGCTCCAAATGTCCACTTCCAGATACTACAAAAAGAGTGTTTCAAACCTACTCTGTGAAAGGGTATATTCAACTCTGTGACTTGAAGGCAGATATCACAAAGAAGTTTCTGAGAATGCTTCTGTCGAGATTTTATATGAAGATATTCCCGTTTCCAAAGAAATCCTGAAATCTATCCAAATATCCCCTCGCAGATTCTACAAAAAGAGTGTCTCAAAACTGCTCTGTAAAAAGAAAGGTTCAACTCTGTTAGTTGAGTACACACATCACAAACAAGTTTCACAGAATGCTTCTTTCTAGCTTGTAGGGGAAGATATTCCCTTTATCACCATGGGCCTCAAACCGTCCGAAACGTCCACTTCCATATACTTCAAAAAGAGCGTTTCAAACCTGCTCTATGAAAGGCAATGTTCAACTCTGTGACTTGAATGCAGACATCACAGAGCAGTTTCTGAGAATGCTTCTGTCTAGATTTTATAGGAAGATATTCTCGTTTCCAACGAAATCTTCACAGCTATCCAAATATCCACTTTCAGATTCTACAAAAAGAGTGTATCAAAAGTGCTCTGTCAAAAGGAAGGTTCTTCTCTGTTAGGTGAGTGCATACGTCATAAAGGAGTTTCTGAAAATGTTTCTGTCTAGTCGTTATGGGAAGATATTTGCTTTTTCACCGTAGGCCTGAGAGCGCTACAAATATCCCCTTGCACATACTATCAAAAGAGTTCTTCAGAGCTGCTCTGTGAAAGGGAATGTTCAACTCTATGAGTTGAATGCAAACATCACAAAGACGTTTCTGAGAATGCTTCTGTCTAGATTTGATATGAAGGTATTCCCGTTTCCAACGAAATCTTCAAATCTATCCAAATGTCCACTTGCAGATTCAACAAAAAGTGTTTTTCAGAACTGCTCTATCAAAAGAAAGATCCACCTCTGTTAGCTGAGTTCACACATCACAAACAAGTTTATGAGAATGCTTCTGTCTAGTTTTTATTTGAAGATATTTCCTTTCTCACCATAGAGCTGAAAGCTGTACTAATGTTCACTTCCAGATACTACAGAAAGAGTGTTTCAAAACTGCTGTACGAAAGGGAATGTTCAACTCTGTGACTTGAATGCACACATCACAAAGAAGTTTCTGAGGATGCTGCTGTCTACTTTTTATACTTAATCCCGTTTCCAACGAAATACTCCAAGCTATCCAAATATCCACTTGCAGATTCCACAGAAAGACTGTTTCAAAACTGCTCTGTCAATAGTAAGGTTCAACTCTGTTAGCTGCGTGCATATATCCCAAAGAAGATTCTGAGATTGCTTCTGTCTAGTTTTTATGGGAAGATATTTCCCTTTTCACCGTAGGTGTTAAGGCGCTCCAAATGTCCACTTCCAGATACTACAAAAAGAGTGTTTCAAACCTACTCTGTGAAAGGGAATATTCAACTCTGTGACTTGAATGCAGATATCACAAAGAAGTTTCTGAGAATGCTTCTGTCGAGATTTTATATGAAGATATTCCCGTTTCCAAGGAAATCCTGAAATCTATCCAAATATCCCCTCACAGATTCTACAAAAAGAGTGTTTCAAAACTGCTCTGTAAAAAGAAAGGTTCAACTCTGTTAGTTGAGTACACACATCACAAACAAGTTTCACAGAATGCTTCTTTCTAGCTTGTAGGGGAAGATATTCCCTTTATCACCATGGGCCTCAAACCGTCCGAAACGTCCACTTCCATATACTACAAAAAGAGCGTTTCAAACCTGCTCTATGAAAGGCAATGTTCAACTCTGTGACTTGAATGTAGACATCACAGAGCAGTTTCTGAGAATGCTTCTGTCTAGATTTTATAGGAAGATATTCCCGTTTCCAACGAAATCTTCACAGCTATCCAAATATCCACTTGCAGATTCTACAAAAAGAGTGTATCAAAAATGCTCTGTCAAAAGGAAGGTTCTTCTCTGTTAGGTGAGTGCATACGTCATAAAGGAGTTTCTCAGAATGTTTCTGTCTAGTGGTTATGGGAAGATATTTGCTTTTTCACCGTAGGCCTCAGCAGCGCTCCAAATATCCACTTGCACATACTACAAAAAGTGTGCCTCAAAGCTGCTCTCTGAAACGGAATGTTCAACTCTATGAGTTGAATGCAAACATCACAAAGACGTTTCTGAAAATGCTTCTGTCTAGATTTGATATGAAGATATTCCTTTTTCCAAGGGAAATCTTCAAAACTATCCAAATGTCCACTTGCAGATTCAACAAAAAGTGTTTTTCAGAACTGCTCTATCAAAAGAAAGATCCACCGCTGTTTGCTGAGTTCACACATCACAAACAAGTTTATGAGAATGCTTCTGTCTAGTTTTTATTTGAAGATATTTCCTTTCTCACCATAGAGCTGAAAGCTGTCCTAATGTTCACTACCAGATACTCACAGAAAGAGTGTTTCAAAACTGCTGTACGAAAGGGAATGTTCAACTCTGTGACTTGAATGCACACATCACAAAGAAGTTTCTGAGGATGCTGCTGTCTACTTTTTATACGTAATCCCGTTTCCAACGAAATCCTCCAAGCTATCCAAATATCCACTTGCAGATTCCACAGAAAGACTGTTTCAAACCTGCTCTGTCAATAGAAAGGTTCAACTCTGTTAGCTGCGTGCATATATCCCAAAGAAGATTCTGAGATTGCTTCTGTCTAGTTTTTATCGGAAGATATTTCCCTTTTCACCGTAGGCGTCAAGGCACTCCAAATGTCCAATTGCAGATACTATAAAAAGAGTGTTTCAAACCTACTCTGTGAAAGGGAATATTCAACTCTGTGACTGGAATGCAGATATCACAAAGAAGTTTCTGAGAATGCTTCTGTCGAGATTTTGTATGAAGATATTCCCGTTTCCAAAGAAATCCTGAAATCTATCCAAATTTCCCCTCGCAGATTCTACAAAAAGAGTGTTTCAAAACTGCTCTGTAAAAAGAAAGGTTCAACTCTGTTAGTTGAGTACACACATCACAAACAAGTTTCACAGAATGCTTCTTTCTAGCTTGTAGGGGAAGATATTCCCTTTATCACCATGGGCCTCAAACCGTCCGAAACGTCTACTTCCATATACTACAAAAAGAGCGTTTCAAACCTGCTCTATGAAAGGCAATGTTCAACTCTGTGACTTCAATGCAGACATCACAGAGCAGTTTCTGAGAATGCTTCTGTCTAGATTTTATAGGAAGATATTCCCGTTTCCAACGAAATCTTCACAGATATCCAAATATCCACTTGCAGATGCTACAAAAAGAGTGTATCAAAAATGCTCTGTCAAAAGGAAGGTTCTTCTGTGTTAGGTGAGTGCATACGTCATAAAGGAGTTTCTGAGAATGTTCCTGTCTAGTGGTTATGGGAAGATATTTGCTTTTTCCCCGTAGGCCTCAAAGCGCTCCAAATGTCCACTTGCACATACTAAAAAAAGTGTGCTTCAAAGCTCCTCTCTGAAAGAGAATGTTCAACTCTATGAGTTGAATGCAAACATCACAAAGACGTTTCTGAGAATGCTTCTCTCTAGATTTGATATGAAGATATTCCCGTTTCCAAAGAAATCTTCAAATCTATCCAAATGTCCACTTGCAGATTCAACAAAAAGTGTTTTTCAGAACTGCTCTATCAAAAGAAAGATCCACGTCTCTTAGCTGAGTTCACACATCACAAACAAGTTTATGAGAATGCTTCTGTCTAGTTTTTATTTGAAGATATTTCCTTTCTCACCATAGAGCTTAAAGCTGTCCTAATGTTCACTTCCAGATACTACAGAAAGAGTGTTTCAAAACTGCTGTACGAAAGGGAATGTTCAACTCTGTGACTTGAATGCACACATCACAAAGAAGTTTCTGAGGATGCTGCTGTCTACTTTTTATACGTAATCCCGTTTCCAACGAAATCCTCCAAGCTATCCAAATATCCACTTGCAGATTCCACAGAACGACTGTTTCAAAACTGCTCTGTCAATAGAAATGTTCAACTCCGTTAGCTGCGTGCATATATCCCAAAGAATTTTCTGAGATTGCTTCTGTCTAGTTTTTATGGGAAGATATTTCCCTTTTCACCGTGGGCGTCAAGGCGCTCCAAATGTCCACTTCCAGATACTACAAAAAGAGTGTTTCAAACCTACTCTGTGAAAGGGAATATTCCACTCTGTGACTTGAATGCACATATCACAAGGAAGTTTCTGAGAATGCTTCTGTCGATATTTTATATGAAGATATTCCCATTTCCAACGAAATCCTGAAATGTATCCAAATATCCCCTCGCAGATTCTACAAAAAGAGTGTATCAAAACTGCTCTGTAAAAAGAAAGGTTCAACTCTGTTAGTTGAGTACACACATCACAAACAAGTTTCACAGAATGCTTCTTTCTAGCTTGTAGGGGAAGATTCCCCTTTATCACCATGGTCCTCAAACCGTCCGAAATGTCCACTTCCATATACTACAAAAAGAGCGTTTCAAACCTGCTGTATGAAAGGCAATGTTCAACTCTGTGACTTGAATGCAGACATCACAGAGCAGTTTCTGAGAATGCTTCTGTCTAGATTTTATAGGAAGATATTCCCGTTTCCAACGAAATCTTCACAGCTATCCAAATAACCACTTGCAGATTCTACAAAAAGAGTGTATCAAACCTGCTCTGTCAAAAGGAAGGTTCTTTTCTGTTAGGTGAGTGCATACGTCATAAAGGAGTTTCTGAGAATGTTTCTGTCTAGTGGTTATGGGAAGATATTTGCTTTTTCCCCGTAGGCCTCAGGGCGCTCCAAATGTCCACTTGCAAATGCTACAAAAAGAGTGCTTCAAAGCTGCTCTCTGAAAGGGAATGTTCAACTCTATGAGTTGAATGCAAACATCACAAAGACGTTTCTGAGAATGCTTTCTGTCTAGATTTGATATGAAGATATTCCCGTTTCCAACGAAATCTTCAAATCTATCCAAATGTCCTCTTGCAGATTCAACAAAAAGTGTTTTTCAGAACTGCTCTATCAAAAGAAAGATCCACGTGTGTTAGCTGAGTTCACACATCACGAACAAGTTTATGAGAATGCTTCTGTCTAGTTTTTATTTGAAGATATTTCCTTTCTCACCATAGACCTGAAAGCTGTCCTAATGTTCACTTCCACATACTACAGAAAGAGTGTTTCAAAACTGCTGTACGAAAGGGAATGTTCAACTCTGTGACATGAATGCACACATCACAAAGAAGTTTCTGAGGATGCTGCTGTCTACTTCTTATACGTAATCCCGTTTCCACCGAAATCCTCCAAGCTATCCAAATATCCACTTGCAGATTCCACAGAAAGACTGTTTCAAAACTGCTATGTCAATAGAAAGGTTCAACTCTGTTAGCTGTGTGCATATATCCCAAAGAAAATTCTGAGATTGCTTCTGTCTAGTTTTTATGGGAAGATATTTCACTTTTCACAGTAGGTGTCAAGGCGCTCCAAATGTCCACTTCCAGATACTACAAAAGGAGTGTTTCAAACCTACTCTGTGAAAGGGAATACTCAACTCTGTGACTTGAATGCACATATCACAAAGATGTTTCTGAGAATGCTTCTGTCGAGATTTTATATGAAGATATTCCCGTTTCCAACGAAATCCTGAAATCTATCCAAATATCCCCTCGCAGATTCTACAAAAAGAGTGTTTCAAAACTGCTCTGTAAAAAGAAAGGTTCAGCTCTGTTAGTTGAGTACACACATCACAAACAAGTTTCACACAATGCTTCTTTCTAGCTTGTAGGGGAAGATATTTCCTTTATCACCATGGTCCTCAAACCGTCCGAAACGTCCACTTCCATATACTAAAAAAAGAGTGTTTCAAACCTGCTCTATGAAAGGCAATGTTCAACTCTGTGACTTGAATGCAGATATCACAGAGCAGTTTCTGAGAATGCTTCTGTCTAGATTTTATAGGAAGATATTCCCGTTTCCAACGAAATCTTCACAGCTATCCAAATATCCACTTGCAGATTCTACAAAAAGCGTGTATCAAAACTGCTCTGTCAAAAGGAAGGTTCTTCTCTGTTAGGTGAGTGCATACGTCATAAAGGAGTTTCTGAGAATGTTTCTGTCTAGTGGTTATGGGAAGATATTTGCTTTTTCACCGTAGGCCTCAGAGCGCACCAAATATCCACTTGCACATACTACAAAAAGAGTGCTTCAAAGCTGGTCTCTGAAACGGAATGTTCAACTCTATGAGTTGAATGCAAACATCACAAAGACGTTTCTGAGAATGCTTCTGTCTAGATTTGATATGAAGATATTCCCGTTTCCAACGAAATCTTCAAAACTATCCAAATGTCCACTTGCAGATTCAACAAAAAGTGTTTTTCAGAACTGCTCTATCAAAAGATAGATCCACCTCTGTTAGCTGAGTTCACACATCACAAACAAGTTTATGAGAATGCTTCTGTCTAGTTTTTATTTGAAGATATTTCCTTTCTCACCATACAGCTGAAAGCTGTCCTAATGTTCACTTCCAGATACTACAGAAAGAGTGTTTCAAAACTGCTGTACGAAAGGGAATGTTCAACTCTGTGACTTGAATGCACACATCACAAAGAAGTTTCTGAGGATGCTTCTGTCCAGCCTTTATAGGAAGATATTCCTGTTTCCAACGAAATCTTCACAGCTATCCAAATATCCACTTGCAGATTCCACAGAAAGACTGTTTCTAAACTGCTCTTTCAATAGAAAGGTTCAACTGTGTTAGCTGCGTGCATATATCCCAAAGAAGATTCTGAGATTGCTTCTGTCTAGTTTTTATGGGAAGATATTTCCCTTTTCACCGTAGGTGTCAAGGAGCTCCAAATGTCCACTTCCAGATACTACAAAAAGAGTGTTTCAAACCTACTCTGTGGAAGGGAATATTCAACTCTGTGACTTGAATGCAGATATCACAAAGAAGTTTCTGAGAATGCTTCTGTCGAGATTTTATATGAAGATATTCCCGTTTCCAACGAAATCCTGAAATGTATCCAAATATCCCCTCTCAGATTCTACAAAAAGAGTGTTTCAAAACTGCTCTGTAAAAAGAAAGGTTCAACTCTGTTAGTTGAGTACACACATCACAAACAAGTTTCACAGAATGCTTCTTTCTAGCTTGTAGGGGAAGATATTTCCTTTATCACCATCATCCTCAAACCATCCGAATCGTCCACTGCCATATACTAAAAAAAGAGTGTTTGAAACCTGCTCTATGAAAGGCAATGTTCAACTCTGTGACTTGAATGCAGACATCACAGAGCAGTTTCTGAGAATGCTTCTGTCCAGACTTTATAGGAAGATATTCCCGTTTCCAACGAAATCTTCACAGCTATCCAAATATCCACTTGCAGATACTACAAAAAGTGTGTATCCAAAGTGCTCTGTCAAAAGGAAAGTTCTTCTCTGCTAGTTGAGTACATACCTCATAAAGAAGTTTCTGAGAATGTTTCTGTCTAGTGTTTATGGGAAGATATTTGCTTTTTCACCAGAGTTCTCAAAGCGCTCCAAATGTCCACTTCCACATACAACAAAAAGAGTGTTTCAAAACTGCTCTATGAAAGGGAGTGTTCAACACTAAGAGTTGAATGCAAACATCACAAACCAGTTTCTGAGAATGCTTCTGTCTAGATTTGATATGAAGATATTCCCGTTTCCAACGACATCTTCAAATCTATCCAAATGTCCACTTGCAGATTCAACAAAAAGTGTTTTTCAGAACTGCTCTATCAAAAGAAAGATCCACCTCTGTTAGCTGAGTTCACACATCACAAACAAGTTTATGAGAATGCTTCTGTCTAGTTTTTATTGGAAGATATTTCCTTTCTCACCATAGACCTGAAAGCTGTCCTAATGTTCACTTCCAGTTACTACAGAAAGAGTGTTTCAAAACTGCTGTACGAAAGGGAATGTTCAACTCTGTGACTTGAATGCACACATTACAAAGAAGTTTCTGAGGATGCTGCTGTTCTACTTTTTATACGTAATCCCGTTTCCAACGAAATCCTCCAAGCTATCCAAATATCCACTTGCAGATTCCACAGAAAGACTGTTTCAAAACTGCTCTGTCAATAGAAAGGTTCAACTCTGTTAGCTGCGTGCATATATCCCAAAGAAGATTCTGAGATTGCTTCTGTCTAGTTTTGATGGGAAGATATTTCCCTTTTCACCGTGGGCATCAAGGCGCTCCAAATGTCCACTTCCAGATACTACAAAAAGAGTGTTTCAAACCTACTCTGTGAAAGGGAATATTCAACTCTGTGACTTGAATGCACATATCACAAGGAAGTTTCTGAGAATGCTTCTGTCGAGATTTTATATGAAGATATTCCCGTTTCCAACGAAATCCTGAAATCTATCCAAATATCCCCTCGCAGATTCTACAAAAAGAGTGTTTCAAAACTGCTGTGTAAAAAGAAAGGTTCAACTCTGTTAGTTGAGTACACACATCACAAACAAGTTTCACAGAATGCTTCTTTCTAGCTTGTAGGGGAAGATATTCCCTTTATCACCATGGGCCTCAAACCGTCCGAAACGTCCACTTCCATATACTACAAAAAGAGCGTTTCAAACCTGCTCTATGAAAGGCAATGTTCAACTCTGTGACTTGAATGCAGACATCACAGAGCAGTTTCTGAGAATGATTCTGTCTAGATTTTATAGGAAGATATTCCCGTTTCCAACAAAATCTTCACAGCTATCCAAATATCCACTTGCAGATTCTACAAAAAGAGTGTATCAAAACTGCTCTGTCAAAAGGAAGGTTCTTCTCTGTTAGGTGAGTGCATACGTCATAAAGGAGTTTCTGAGAAAGTTTCTGTCTAGTGGTTATGGGAAGATATTTGCTTTTTCACCGAAGGCCTCAGAGAGCTCCAAATATCCACTTGCACATACTGCAAAATGAGTGCCTCAAAGCTGCTCTCTGAAACGGAATGTTCAACTCTATGAGTTGAATGCAAACATCACAAAGACGTTTCCGAGAATGCTTCTGTCTAGATTTGATATGAAGATATTCCCGTTTCCAACGAAATCTTCAAATCTATCCAAATGTCCACTTGCAGATTCAACAAAAAGTGTTTTTCAAAACTGCTGTATCAAAAGAAAGATCCACCTCTGTTAGCTGAGTTCACACATCACAAACAAGTTTATGAGAATGCTTCTGTCTAGTTTTTATTTGAAGATATTTCCTTTCTCACCATAGACCTGAAAGCTGTCCTAATGTTCACTTCCAGATACTACAGAAAGAGTGTTTCAAAATTGCTGTACGAAAGGGAATGTTCAACTCTGTGACTTGAATGCACACATCACAAAGAAGTTTCTGAGGATGCTGCTGTCTACTTTTTATACGTAATCCCGTTTCCAACGAAATCCTCCAAGCTATCCAAATATCCACTTGCAGATTCCACAGAAAGACTGTTTCAAAACTGCTCTGTCAATAGAAAGGTTCAACTCTGTTAGCTGCGTGCATATATCCCAAAGAAGTTTCTGAGATTACTTCTGTCTAGTTTTTATGGGAAGATATTTCCCTTTTCACCGTAGGCGTCAAGGCGCTCCAAATGTCCACTTCCAGATACTACAAAAAGAATGTTTCAAACCTACTCTGTGAAAGGGAATATTCAACTCTGTGACTTGAATGCACATATCACAAAGAAGTTTCTGAGAATGCTTCTGTCGAGATTTTATATGAAGATATTCCCGTTTCCAACGAAATCCTGAAATCTATCCAAATATCCCCTCGCAGATTCTAGAAAAAGAGGGTTTCAAAACTGCTCTGTAAAAAGAAAGGTTCAACTCTGTTAGTTGAGTACACACATCACAAACAAGTTTCACAGAATGCTTCTTTCTAGCTTGTAGGGGAAGATATTCCCTTTATCACCACGGGCCTCAAACCGTCCGAAACGTCCACTTCCATATACTACAAAAAGAGCGTTTCAAACCTGCTCTATGAAAGGCAATGTTCAACTCTGTGACTTGAATGCAGACATCACAGAGCAGTTTCTGAGAATGCTTCTGTCTAGATTTTATAGGAAGATATTCCCGTTTCCAGCGAAATCTTCACAGGTATCCAAATATCCACTTGCAGATTCTACAAAAAGAGTGTATCAAAACTGCTCTGTCAAAAGGAAGGTTCTTCTCTGTTAGGTGAGTGCATACGTCATAAAGGAGTTTCTGAGAATGTTTCTGTCTAGTGGTTATGGGAAGATATTTGCTTTTTCACCTTAGGCCTCAGGAGCGCTCCAAATATCCCCTTGCACATACTACAAAAAGAGTGCTTCAAAGCTGCTCTCTGAAAGGGAATGTTCAACTCTATGAGTTGAATGCAAACATCACAAAGACGTTTCTGAGAATGCCTCTGTCTAGATTTGATATGAAGATATTCCCGTTTCCAACGAAATCTTCAAATCTATCCAAATGTCCACTTGCAGATTCAACAAAAAGTGTTTTTCAGAACTGCTCTATCAAAAGAAAGATGCACCTCTGTTAGCTGAGTTCAGACATCACAAACAAGTTTATGAGAATGCTTCTGTCTAGTTTTTATTTGAAGATATTTCCTTTCTCACCATAGACCTGAAAGCTGTCCTAATGTTCACTTCCAGATACTACAGAAAGAGTGTTTCAAAACTGCTGTACGAAAGGGAATATTCAACTCTGTGACTTGAATGCACACATCACAAAGAAGCTTCTGAGGATGCTGCTGTCTACTTTTTATACGTAATCCCGTTTCCAACGAAATCCTCCAAGCTATCCAAATATCCACTTGCAGATTCCACAGAAAGACTGTTTCAAAACTGCTATGTCAATAGAAAAGTTCAACTCTGTTAGCTGTGTGCATATATCCCAAAGAAAATTCTGAGATTGCTTCTGTCTAGTTTTTATGGGAAGATATTTCCCTTTTAACCATAGGCGTCAAGGCGCTCCAAATGTCCACTTCCAGATACTACAAAAAGAGTGTTTCAAACCTACTCTGTGAAAGGGAATATTCACCTCTGTGACTTGAATGCAGATATCACAAAGAAGTTTCTGAGAATGCTTCTGTCGAGATTTTATATGAAGATATTCCCGTTTCCAACAAAATCCTGAAATCTATCCAAATATCCCCTCGCAGATTCTACAAAAAGAGTGTTTCAAAACTGCTCTGTAAAAAGAAAGGTTCAACTCTGTTAATTGAGTACACACATCACAAACAAGTTTCACAGAATGCTTCTTTCTAGCTTGTAGGGGAAGATATTCCCTTTATCACCATGGGCCTCAAACCGTCCGAAACGTTTACTTCCATATACTACAAAAAGAGCGTTTCAAACCTGCTCTATGAAAGGCAATGTTCAACTCTGTGACTTGAATGCAGACATCACAGAGCAGTTTCTGAGAATGCTTCTGTCTAGATTTTATAGGAAGATATTTCCGTTTCCAACGAAACCTTCACATCTATCCAAATATCCACTTGCAGATTCTACAAAAAGAGTGTATCAAAACTGCTCTGTCAAAAGGAAGGTTCTTCTCTGTTAGGTGAGTGCATACGTCATAAAGGAGTTTCTGAGAATGTTTCTGTCTAGTGGTTATGGGAAGATATTTGCTTTTTCCCCTTAGGCCTCAAAGCGCTCCAAATGTCAACTTGCACATACTACAAAAAGAGTGCTTCAAAGCTGCTCTCTGAAAGGGAATGTTCAACTCTATGAGTTGAATGCAAACATCACAAAGACGTTTCTGAGAATGCTTCTGTCTTGATTTGATATGAAGATATTCCCGTTTCCAACGAAATCTTCAAATCTATCCAAATGTCCACTTGCAGATTCAACAAAAAGTGTTTTTCAGAACTGCTCTATCAAAAGAAAGATCCACCTCTGTTAGCTGAGTTCACACATCACAAACAAGTTTATGAGAATGCTTCTGTCTAGTTTTTATTTGAAGATATATCCTTTCTCACTATAGACCTGAAAGCTCTCCTAAAGTTCACTTCCAGATACTACAGAAAGAGTGTTTCAAAACTGCTGTACGAAAGGTAATGTTCAACTCTGTGACTTGAATGCACACATCACAAGGATGTTTCTGAGGATGCTGCTGTCTAATTTTTATACGTAATCCCGTTTCCAACGAAATCCTCCAAGCTATCCAAATATCCACTTGCAGATTCCACAGAAAGACTGTTTCAAAACTGCTCTGTCAATAGAAAGGTTCAACTCTGTTAGCTGCGTGCATATATCCGAAAGAAGATTCTGAGATTGCTTCTGTCTACTTTTTATGAGAAGATATTTTCCTTTTCACCGTAGGCATCAAGGCGCTCCAAATGTCCACTTCCAGATACTACAAAAAGAGTGTTTCAAACCTACTCTGTGAAAGGGAATATTCAACTCTGTGACTTGAATGCACATATCACAAAGAAGTTTCTGAGAATGCTTCTGTCGAGATTTTATATGAAGTTATTCCCGTTTCCAACGAAATCCTGAAATCTATCCAAATATCCCCTCGCAGATTCTACAAAAAGAGTGTTTCAAAACTGCTCTGTAAAAGGAAAGGTTCAACTCTGTTAGTTGAGTACACACATCACAAACAAGTTTCACAGAATGCTTCTTTCTAGCTTGTAGGGGAAGATATTCCCTTTATCACCATGGGCCTGAAACCGTCCGAAACGTCTACTTCCATATACTACAAAAAGAGCGTTTCAAACCTGCTCTATGAAAGGCAATGTTCAACTCTGTGACTTGAATGCAGACATCACAGAGCAGTTTCTGAGAATGCTTTCTGTCTAGATTTTATAGGAAGATATTCCCGATTCCAACGAAATCTTCGCAGCTATCCAAATATCCACTTGCAGATTCTACAAAAAGCGTGTATCAAAACTGTTCTGTCAAAAGGAAGGTTCTTCTCTGTTAGGTGAGTGCATACGTCATAAAGCAGTTTCTGAGAATGTTTCTGTCTAGTGGTTATGGGAAGATATTTGCTTTTTCCCCGTAGGCCTCAGGGCGCTCCAAATGTCCACTTGCACATGCTACAAAAAGAGTGCTTCAAAGCTGCTCTCTGAAAGGGAATGTTCAACTCTATGAGTTGAAGGCAAACATCACAAAGACGTTTCTGAGAATGTTTCTGTCTAGATTTGATATGAAGATATTCCCGTTTCCAACGAAATCTTCAAATCTATCCAAATGTCCACTTGCAGATTCAACAAAAAGTGTTTTTCCGAACTGCTCTATCAAAAGAAAGATCCACCTCTGTTAGCTGAGTTCACACATCACAAACAAGTTTATGAGAATGCTCCTGTCTAGTTTTTATTTGAAGATATTTCCTTTCTCACCATAGACCTGAAAGCTGTCCTAATGTTCACTTCCAGATACTACAGAAAGAGTGTTTCAAAACTGCTGCACGAAAGGGAATGTTCAACTCTGTGACTTGAATGCACACATCACAAAGAAGTTTCTGAGGATGCTGCTGTCTACTTTTTATACGTAATCCCGTTTCCAACGAAATCCTCCAAGCTATCCAAATATCCACTTGCAGATTCCACAGAAAGACTGTTTCAAAACTGCTCTGTCAATAGAAAGGTTAAACTCTGTTAGCTGCGTGCATATATCCCAAAGAAGATTCTGAGATTGCTTCTGTCTAGTTTTTATGGGAAGATATTTCCCTTTTCACCGTAGGCGTCAAGGCGCTCCAAATGTCCAATTCCAGATACTATAAAAAGAGTGTTTCAAACCTACTCTGTGAAAGGGAATATTCAACTCTGTGACTTGAATGCAGATATCACAAAGAAGTTTCTGAGAATGCTTCTGTTGAGATTTTATATGAAGATATTCCCGTTTCCAACGAAATCCTGAAATCTATCCAAATATCCCCTCGCAGATTCTACAAAAAGAGTGTTTCAAAACTGCTCTGTAAAAAGAAAGGTTCAACTCTGTTACTTGAGTACACACATCACAAACAAGTTTCACAGAATGCTTCTTTCTAGCTTGTAGGGGAAGATATTCCCTTTATCACCATGGGCCTCAAACCGTCCGAAACGTCCACTTCCATATACTACAAAAAGAGCGTTTCAAACCTGCTCTATGAAAGGCAATGTTCAGCTCTGTGACTTGAATGCAGACATCACAGAGCAGTTTCTGAGAATGCTTCTGTCTAGTTTTTATAGGAAGATATTCCCGTTTCCAACGAAATCTTCACAGCTATCCAAATATCCACTTGCAGATTCTACAAAAAGAGTGTATCAAAACTGCTCTGTCAAAAGGAAGGTTCTTCTCTGTTAGGTGAGTGCATACGTCATAAAGGAGTTTCTGAGAATGTTTCTGTCTAGTGGTTATGGGAAGATATTTGCTTTTTCACCGTAGGCCTCAGAGCGCTCCAAATATCCACTTGAACATACTACAAAAAGAGTGCTTCAAAGCTGCTCTCTGAAACGGAATGTTCAACTCTATGAGTTGAATGCAACCATCACAAAGACGTTTCTGAGAATGCTTCTGTCTAGATTTGATATGAAGATATTCCCGTTTCCAACGAAATCTTCAAATCTATCCAAATGTCCACTTGCAGATTCAACAAAGTGTTTTTCAAAACTGCTCTATCAAAAGAAAGATCCACCACTGTTAGCTGAGTTCACACTTCACAAACAAGTTTATCAGTATTCTTCTGTCTAGTTTTTATTTGAAGATATATCCTTTCTCACTATAGACCTGAAAGCTTTCCTAAAGTTCACTTCCAGATACTACAGAAAGAGTGTTTCAAAACTGCTGTACGAAAGGGAATGTTCAACTCTGTGACTTGAATGCACACATCACAAGGATGTTTCTGAGGATGCTGCTGTCTACTTTTTATACGTAATCCCGTTTCCAACGAAATCCTCCAAGCTATCCAAATATCCACTTGCAGATTCCACAGAAAGACTGTTTCAAAACTGCTCTGTCAATAGAAAGGTTCAACTCTGTTAGCTGCGTGCATATATGCCAAAGAAGATTCTGAGATTGCTTCTGTCTAGTTTTTATGGGAAGATATTTCCCTTTTCACCGTAGGCGTCGAGGCGCTCCAAATGTCCACTTCCAGATACTACAAAAAGAGTGTTTCAAACCTACTCTGTGAAAGGGAATATTCAACTCTGTGACTTGAATGCACATATCACAAAGTAGTTTCTGAGAATGCTTCTGTCGAGATTTTATATGAAGATATTCCCGTTTCCAACGAAATCCTGAAATCTATCCAAATATCCCCTCGCAGATTCTACAAAAAGAGTGTTTCAAAACTGCTCTGTAAAAAGAAAGGTTCAACTCTGTTAGTTGAGTACACACATCACAAACAAGTTTCACAGAATCCTTCTTTCTGGCTTGTAGGGGAAGATATTCCCTTTATCACCATGGGCCTCAAACCGTCCGAAACGTCCACTTCCATATACTACAAAAAGAGCATTTCAAACCTGCTCTAGGAAAGGCAATGTTCAACTCTGTGACTTGAATGCAGACATCGCAGAGCAGTTTCTGAGTATGCTTCTGTCCAGACTTTATAGGAAGATATTCCCGTTTCCAACGAAATCTTCACAGCTATCCAAATATCCACTTGCAGATAGTACAAAAAGAGTGTATCGAAAATGCTCTGTCAAAAGGAAAGTTCTTCTCTGCTAGTTGAGTACATACGTCATAAAGAAGTTTCGGAGAATGTTTCCTGTTTAGTGGTTATGGGAAGATATTTGCTTTTTCACCTTAGGCCTCAGAGCGCTCCAAATATCCCCTTGCACATACTACAAAAAGAGTGCTTCAAAGCTGCTCTCTGAAACGGAATGTTCAACTCTATGAGTTGAATGCAAACATGACAAAGACGTTTCCGAGAATGCTTTCTGTCTAGATTTGATATGAAGATATTCCCGTTTCCAACGAAATCTTCAAATCTATCCAAATGTCCACTTGCAGATTCAACAAAAGTGTTTTTCAGAACTGCTCTATCAAAAGAAAGATCCACGTGTGTTAGCTGAGTTCACACATCACAAACAAGTTTATGAGAATGCTTCTGTCTAGTTTTTATTTGAAGATATTTCCTTTCTCACCATAAACCTGAAAGCTGTCCTAATGTTCACTTCCAGATACTACAGAAAGAGTGTTTCAAAACTGCTGTACGGAAGGGAATGTTCAACACTGTGACTTGAATGCACACATCACAAAGAAGTTACCTGAGGATGCTGCTGTCTACTTTTTATATGTAATCCCGTTTCCAACGAAATCCTCCAAGCTATCCAAATATCCACTTGCAGATTCCACAGAAAGACTGTTTCAAAAGTGCTCTGTCAATAGAAAGGTACAACTCTGTTAGCTGCGTGCATATATCCCAAAGAAGATTCTGAGATTGCTTCTGTCTAGTTTTTAATGGGAAGATATTTCCCTTTTCACCGTAGGTGTCAAGGCGCTCCAAATGTCCACTTCCAGATACTACAAAAAGAGTGTTTCCAACCTACTCTGTGAAAGGGAATATTCAACTCTGTGACTTGAATGCACATATCACAAAGAAGTTTCTGAGAATGCTTCTGTCGAGATTTTATATGAAGATATTCCCGTTTCCAACGAAATCCTGAAATCTATCCAAATATCCCCTCGCAGATTCTACAAAAAGAGTGTTTCAAAACTGCTCTGTAAAAAGAAAGGTTCAACTCTGTTACTTGACTACACACATCACAAACAAGTTTCACAGAATGCTTCTTTCTAGCTTGTAGGGAAGATATTCCCTTTATCACCATGGGCCTCCAACCGTCCGAAACATCCACTTCCATATACTACAAAAAGAGCGTTTCAAACCTGCTCTATGAAAGGCAATGTTCAACTCTGTGACTTGAATGCAGACATCACAGAGCAGTTTCTGAGAATGCTTCTGTCCAGACTTTATAGGAAGATATTCCCGTTTCCAACGAAATCTTCACAGCTATCCAAATATCCACTTGCAGATAGTACAAAAAGAGTGTATCAGAAATGCTCTGTCAAAAGGAAAGTTCTTCTCTGCTAGTTGAGTACATACGTCATAAAGAACTTTCTGAGAATGTTTCTGTCTAGTGGTTATGGGAAGATATTTGCTTTTTCCCCGTAGGCCTCAGGGCGCTCCAAATGTCCACTTGCACATGCTACAAAAAGAGTGCTTCAAAGCTGCTCTCTGAAACGGAATGTTCAACTCTATGAGTTGAATGCAAACATCGCAAAGACGTTTCTGAGAATGCTTCTGTCTAGATTTGATATGAAGATATTCCCGTTTCCAACGAAATCTTCAAATCTATCCAAATGTCCACTTGCAGATTCAACAAAAAGTGTTTTTCAGAAGTGCTCTATCAAAAGAAAGATCCACCTCTGTTAGCTGAGTTCACACATCACAAACAAGTTTATGAAAATGTTTCTGTCTAGTTTTTATTTGAAGATATATCCTTTCTCACTATAGACCTGAAAGCTGTCCTAAAGTTCACTTCCAGATACAAAGAAAGAGTGTTTCAAAACTGCTGTACGAAAGGGAATGTTCAACTCTGTGACTTGAATGCACACATCACAAGGATGTTTCTGAGGATGCTGCTGTCTACTTTTTATACGTAATCCCGTTTCCAACGAAATCCTCCAAGCTATCCAAATATCCACTTGCAGATTCCACAGAAAGACTGTTTCAAAACTGCTCTGTCAATAGAAAGGTTCAAATCTGTTAGCTGCGTGCATATATCCCAAAGAAGATTCTGAGATTCCTTTCTGTCTAGTTTTTATTGGAAGATATTTCCCTTTTCACCGTAGGTGTCAAGGCGCTCCAAATGTCCACTTCCAGATACTACAAAAAGAGTGTTTCAAACCTACTCTGTGAAAGGGAATATTCAACTCTGTGACCTGAATGCACATATCACAAGGAAGTTTCTGAGAATGCTTCTGTCGAGATTTTATATGAAGATATTCCCGTTTCCAACGAAATGCTGAAATGTATCCAAATATCCCCTCGCAGATTCTACAAAAAGAGTGTTTCAAAACTGCTCTGTAAAAAGAAAGGTTCAACTCTGTTAGTTGAGTACACACATCACAAACAAGTTTCACAGTAATGCTTCTTTCTAGCTTGTAGGGGAAGATATTCCCTTTATCACCATGGGCCTGAAACCGTCCGAAACGTCTACTTCCATATACTACAAAAAGAGCGTTTCAAATCTGCTCCATGAAAGGCAATGTTCAACTCTGTGACTTGAATGCAGACATCACAGAGCAGTTTCTGAGAATGCTTCTGTCTAGATTTTATAGGAAGATATTCCCGTTTCCAACGAAATCTTCACAGCTATCCAAATATCCACTTGCAGATTCTACAAAAAGAGTGTATCAAAACTGCTCTGTCAAAAGGAAGGTTCTTTTCTGTTAGGTGAGTGCATACGTCATAAAGGAGTTTTTGAGAATGTTTCTGTCTAGTGGTTATGGGCAAGATATTTGCTTTTTCACCGTAGGCCTCAGAGCGCTCCAAATATCCACTTGCACATACTACAAAAAGAGTGCTTCAAAGCTGCTCTCTGAAACGGAATGTTCAACTCTATGAGTTGAATGCAAACATCACAAAGACGTTTCTGAGAATGCTTCTGTCTAGATTTGATATGAAGATATTCCCGTTTCCAACGACATCTTCAAATCTATCCAAATGTCCACTTGCAGATTCAACAAAACGTGTTTTTCAGAACTGCTCTATCAAAAGAAAGATCCACCTCTGTTAGCTGAGTTCACACATCACAAACAAGTTTATGAGAATGCTTCTGTCTAGTTTTTATTTGAAGATATTTCCTTTCTCACCATAGACCTGAAAACTGTCCTAATGTTCACTTGCAGATACTACAGAAAGAGTGTTTCAAAACTGCTGTACGAAAGGGAATGTTCAACTCTGTGACTTGAATGCACACATCACAAAGAAGTTTCTGAGGATGCTGCTGTCTACTTTTTATACGTAATCCCGTTTCCAACGAAATCCTCCAAGCTATCCAAATATCCACTTGCAGATTCCACAGAAAGACTGTTTCAAAACTGCTCTGTCAATAGAAAGGTTCAACTCTGTTAGCTGCGTGCATATATCCCAAAGAAGATTGCTGAGATTGCTTCTGTCTAGTTTTTATGGGAAGATATTTCCCTTTTCACCGTAGGCGTCAAGGCGCTCAAAATGTCCACTTCCAGATACTACAAAAAGAGTGTTTCAAACCTACTCTATGAAAGGGAATATTCAACTCTGTGACTTGAATGCACATATCACAAAGAAGTTTCTGAGAATGCTTCTGTCGAGATTTTATGTGAAGATATTCCCGTTTCCAACGAAATCCTGAAATCTATCCAAATATCCCCTCGCAGATTCTACAAAAAGAGTGTTTCAAAACTGCTCTGTAAAAAGAAAGGTTCAACTCTGTTAGTTGAGTACACACATCACAAACAAGTTTCACAGAATGCTTCTTTCTAGCTTGTAGGGGAAGATATTCCCTTTATCACCATGGGCCTCAAACCGTCCGAAACGTCCATTTCCATATACTACAAAAAGAGCGTTTCAAACCTGCTCCATGAAAGGCAATGTTCAACTCTGTGACTTGAATGCAGACATCACAGAGCAGTTTCTGAGAATGCTTCTGTCTAGATTTTATAGGAAGATATTACCGTTTCCAACGAAATCTTCACAGCTATCCCAATATCCACTTGCAGATTCTACAAAAAGAGTGTATCAAAACTGCTCTGTCAAAAGGAAGGTTCTTCTCTGTTAGTTGAGTACATACGTCATAAAGGAGTTTCTGAGAATGTTTCTGTCTAGTGGTTATGGGAAGATATTTGCTTTTTCACCGTAGACCTCAGAGCGCTCCAAATATCCACTTGCACATACTACAAAAAGAGTGCTTCAAAGCTGCTCTCTGAAACGGAATGTTCAACTCTATGAGTTGAATGCAAACATCACAAAGACGTTTCTGAGAATGCTTCTGTCTAGATTTGATGTGAAGATATTCCCGTTTCCAACGAAATCTTCAAATCTATCCAAATGTCCACTTGCAGATTCAACAAAAAGTGTTTTTCCGAACTGCTCTATCAACAGAAAGATCCGCCTCTGTTAGCTGAGTTCACACATCACAAACAAGTTTATGAGAATGCTTCTGTCTAGTTTTTATTTGAAGATATTTCCTTTCTCACCATAGACCTGAAAGCTGTCCTAATGTTCACTTCCAGATACTACAGAAAGAGTGTTTCAAAACTGCTGTACGAAAGGGAATGTGCAACTCTGTGACTTGAATGCACACATCACAAGGAAGTTTCTGAGGATGCTGCTGTCTACTTTTTATACGTAAACCCGTTTCCAACGAAATCCTCCAAGCTATCCAAATATCCACTTGCAGATTCCACAGAAAGACTGTTTCAAAACTGCTCTGTCAATAGAAAGGTTCAACTCTGTTAGCTGCATGCATATATCCCAAAGAAGATTCTGAGATTGCTTCTGTCTAGTTTTTATGGGAAGATATTTCCCTTTTCACCGTAGGCGTCAAGGCGCTCCAAATGTCCACTTCCAGATACTACAAAAAGAGTGTTTCAAACCTACTCTGTGGAAGGGAATATTCAACTCTGTGACTTGAATGCACATATCACAAAGAAGTTTCTGAGAATGCTTCTGTCGAGATTTTATATGAAGATATTCCCGTTTCCAACAAAATCCTGAAATCTATCCAAATATCCCCTCGCAGATTCTACAAAAAGAGTGTTTCAAAACTGCTCTGTAAAAAGAATGGTTCAACTCTGTTAGTTGAGTACACACATCACAAACAAGTTTCACAGAATGCTTCTTTCTAGCTTGTAGGGGAAGATATTCCCTTTATCACCATGGGCCTCAAACCGTCCAAAAAGTCTACTTCCATATACTACAAAAAGAGCGTTTCAAACCTACTCTATGAAAGGCAATGTTCAACTCTGTGACTTGAATGCAGACATCACAGAGCAGTTTCTGAGAATGCTTCTGTCTGGATTTTATAGGAAGATATTCCCGTTTCCAACGAAATCTTCACAGCTATCCAAATATCCACTTGCAGATTCTACAAAAAGAGTGTATCAAAACTGCTCTGTCAAAAGGAAGGTTCTTCTCTGTTAGTTGAGTACATACGTCATAAAGGAGTTTCTGAGAATGTTTCTGTCTAGTGGTTATGGGAAGATATTTGCTTTTTCACCTTAGGCCTCAGAGCGCTCCAAATATCCACTTGCACATACTACAAAAAGAGTGCTTCAAAGCTGCTCTCTGAAACGGAATGTTCAACTCTATGGGTTGAATGCAAACATCACAAAGACGTTTCTGAGAATGCTTCTGTCTAGATTTGATATGAAGATATTCCCGTTTCCAACGAAATCTTCAAATCTATCCAAATGTCCACTTGCAGATTCAACAAAAAGTGTTTTTCAGAACTGCTCTATCAAAAGAAAGATCCACCTCTGTTAGCTGAGTTCACACATCACAAACAAGTTGATGAGAATGCTTCTGTCTAGTTTTTATTTGAAGATATTTCCTTTCTCACCATAGACCTGAAAGCTGTCCTAATGTTCACTTCCAGATACTACAGAAAGAGTGTTTCAAAACTGCAGTACGAAAGGGAATGTTCAACTCTGTGACTTGAATGCACACATCACAAAGAAGTTTCTGAGGATGCTGCTGTCTACTTTTTATACGTAATCCCGTTTCCAACGAAATCCTCCAAGCTATCCAAATATCCACTTGCAGATTCCACAGAAAGACTGTTTCAAAAGTGCTCTCTCAATAGAAAGGTTCAACTCTGTTAGCTGCGTGCATATATCCCAAAGACGATTCTGAGATTGCTTCTCTCTAGTTTTTATGGGAAGATATTTCCCTTTTCACCGTAGGTGTCAAGGCGCTCCAAATGTCCACTTCCAGATACTACAAAAAGAGTGTTTCAAACCTACTCTGTGAAAGGGAATATTCAACTCTGTGACTTGAATGCACATATCACAAAGAAGTTTCTGAGAATGCTTCTGTCGAGATTTTATATGAAGATATTCCCGTTTCCAACGAAATCCTGAAATCTATCGAAATATCCCCTCGCAGATTCTACAAAAAGAGTGTTTCAAAACTGCTCTGTAAAAAGAAAGGTTCAACTCTGTTAGTTGAGTACACACATCACAAACAAGTTTCACAGAATGCTTCTTTCTAGCTTGTAGGGGAATATATTCCCTTTATCACCATGGGTCTCAAACCGTCCGAAACGTCCACTTCCATACACTACAAAAAGAGCGTTTCAAACCTGCTCTATGAAAGGCAATGTTCAACTCTGTGACTTGAATGCAGACATCACAGAGCTGTTTCTGAGAATGCTTCTGTCTAGATTTTATAGGAAGATATTCCCGTTTCCAACGAAATCTTCACAGCTATCCAAATATCCACTTGCAGATTCTACAAAAGGAGTGTATCAAAACTGCTCTGTCAAAAGGAAGGTTCTTCTCTGTTAGGTGAGTGCATACGTCATAAAGCAGTTTCTGAGAATGTTTCTGTCTAGTCGTTATGGGAAGATATTTGCTTTTTCACCGTAGGCCTCAGAGCGCTCCAAATATCCACTTGCACATACTACAAAAAGAGTGCTTCAAAGCTGGTCTCTGAAACGGAATGTTCAACTCTATGAGTTGAATGCAAACATCACAAAGACGTTTCTGAGAATGCTTCTGTCTAGATTTGATATGAAGATATTCCCGTTTCCAAAGAAAATCTTCAAATCTATCCAAATGTCCACTTGCAGATTCAACAAAAAGTGTTTTTCAGAACTGCTCTATCAAAAGAAAGATCCACCTCTGTTAGCTGAGTTCACACATCAGAAACAAGTTTATGAGAATGCTTCTGTCTAGTTTTTATTTGAAGATATTTCCTTTCTCACCATAGAGCTGAAAGCTGTCCTAATGTTCACTTCCAGATACTACAGAAAGAGTGTTTCAAAACTGCTGTACGAAAGGGAATGTTCAACTCTGTGACTTGAATGCACACATCACAAAGAAGTTTTCTGAGGATGCTGCTGTCTACTTTTGATACGTAATCCCGTTTCCAACGAAATCCTCAAAGCTATCCAAATATCCACTTGCAGATTCCACAGAAAGACTGTTTCAAAACTGCTCTGTCAATAGAAAGGTTCAACTCTGTTAGCTGCGTGCATATATCCCAAAGAAGATTCTGAGATTGCTTCTGTCTAGTTTTTATGGGAAGATATTTCCCTTTTCACTGTAGGCGTCAAGGCGCTCCAAATGTCCACTTCCAGATACTACAAAAAGAGTGTTTCAAACCTACTCTGTGAAAGGGAATATTCAACTCTGTGACTTGAATGCAGATATCACAAAGAAGTTTCTGAGAATGCTTCTGTCGAGATTTTATATGAAGATATTCCCGTTTCCAACGAAATCCTGAAATCTATCCAAATATCCCCTCGCAGATTCTACAAAAAGAGTGTTTCAAAACTGCTCTGTAAAAAGAAAGGTTCAACTCTGTTAGTTGAGTACACACATCACAAACAAGTTTCACAGAATGCTCTTTCTAGCTTGTAGGGGAAGATATTCCCTTCATCACCATGGGCCTCCAACCGTCCGAAACATCCACTTCCATATACTACAAAAAGAGCGTTTCAAACCTGCTCTATGAAAGGCAATGTTCAACTCTGTGACTTGAATGCAGACATCACAGAGTAGTTTCTGAGAATGCTTCTGTCTAGATTTTATAGGAAGATATTCCCGTTTCCAACGAAATCTTCACAGCTATCCAAATATCCACTTGCAGATTCTACAAAAAGAGTGTATCAAACTGCTCAGTCAAAAGGAAGGTTCTTCTCTGTTAGGTGAGTGCATACGTCATAAAGGAGTTTCTGAGAATGTTTCTGTCTAGTGGTTATGGGAAGATATTTGCTTTTTCCCCGTAGGCCTCAGGGCGCTCCAAATGTCCACTTGCACATGCTACAAAAAGAGTGCTTCAAAGCTGCTCTCTGAAAGGGAATGTTCAACTCTATGAGTTGAATGCAAACATCACAAAGACGTTTCTGAGAATGTTTCTGTCTAGATTTATGACGATATTCCCGTTTCCAACGAAATCTTCAAATCTATCCAAATGTCCACTTGCAGATTCAACAAAGTGTTTTTCAGAACTGCTCTATCAAAAGAAAGATCCACCTCTGTTAGCTGAGATCACACTTCACAAACAAGTTTATCAGAATGCTTCTGTCTAGTTTTTATTTGAAGATATATCCTTTCTCACTATAGACCTGAAAGCTCTCCTAAAGTTCACTTCCAGATACTACAGAAAGAGTGTTTCAAAACTGCTGTACGAAAGGGAATGTTCAACTCTGTGACTTGAATGCAGACATCACAGAGCAGTTTCTGAGAATGCTCTGTCTACTTTTTATACGTAATCCCGTTTCCAACGAAATCCTCCAAGCTATCCAAATATCCACTTGCAGATTCCACAGAAAGACTGTTTCAAAACTGCTCTGTCAATAGAAAGGTTCAACTCTGTTAGCTGCATGCATATATCCCAAAGAAGATTCTGAGATTGCTTTCTGTCTAGTTTTTATGGAAGATATTTCCCTTTTCACCGTAGGCGTCAAGGCGCTCCAAATGTCCACTTCCAAATACTACAAAAAGAGTGTTTCAAACCTACTCTGTGAAAGGGAATATTCAACTCTGTGACTTGAATGCACATATCACAAAGAAGTTTCTGAGAATGCTTCTGTCGAGATTTTATATGAAGATATTCCCGTTTCGAACGAAATCCTGAAATCTATCCAAATATCCCCTCGCAGATTCTACAAAAAGAGTGTTTCAAAACTGCTCTGTAAAAAGTAAGGTTCAACTCTGTTAGTTGAGTACACACATCACAAACAAGTTTCACAGAATGCTTCTTTCTAGCTTGTAGGGGAAGATATTCCCTTTATCACCATGGGCCTCAAACCATCCGAAACGTCCACTTCCATATACTACAAAAAGAGCGTTTCAAACCTGCTCTAGGAAAGGCAATGTTCAACTCTGTGACTTGAATGCAGACATCACAGAGTAGTTTCTGAGAATGCTTCTGTCTAGATTTTATAGGAAGATATTCCCGTTTCCAACGAAATCTTCACAGCTATCCAAATATCCACTTGCAGATTCTACAAAAAGAGTGTATCAAAACTGCTCTGTGAAAAGGAAGGTTCTTCTCTCTTAGTTGAGTACATACGTCATAAAGGAGTTTCTGAGAATGTTTCTGTCTAGTGGTTATGGGAAGATATTTGCTTTTTCACCGTAGGCCTCACAGCGCTCCAAATATCCACTTGCACATACTACAAAAAGAGTGCTTCAAAGCTGCTCTCTGAAAGTGAATGCTCAACTCTATGAGTTGAATGCAAACATCACAAAGACGTTTCTGAGAATGCTTCTGTCTAGATTTGATATGAAGATATTCCCGTTTCCAACGAAATCTTCAAATCTATCCAAATATCCACTTCCAGATTCAACAAAAAGTGTTTTTCAGAACTGCTCTATCAAAAGAAAGATCCACCTCTGTTAGCTGAGTTCACACATCACAAACAAGTTTATGAGAATGCTTCTGTCTAGTTTTTACTTGAGGATATTTCCTTTCTCACCATAGACCTGAAAGCTGTCCTAATGTTCACTTCCAGATACTACAGAAAGAGTGTTTCAAAACTGCTGTACGAAAGGGAATGTTCAACTCTGTGACTCCAATGTACACATCACAAAGAAGTTTCTGAGGATGCTGCTGTCTACTTTTTATACGTAATCCCGTTTCCAACAAAATCCTCCAAGCTATCCAAATATCCACTTGCAGATACCACAGAAAGACTGTTTCAAAACTGCTCTGTCAATAGAAAGGTTCAACTCTGTTAGCTGCGTGCATATATCCCAAAGAGGATTCTGAGATTGCTTCTGTCTAGTTTTTATGGGAAGATATTACCCTTTTCACCGTAGGTGTCAAGGCGCTCCAAATGTCCACTTCCAGATACTACAAAAAGAGTGTTTCAAACCTACTCTGTGAAAGGGAATATTCAACTCTGTGACTTAAAGGCAGATATCACAAAGAAGTTTCTGAGAATGCTTCTGTCGAGATTTTATATGAAGATATTCCCCTTTCCAACGAAATCCTGAAATCTATCCAAATATCCCCTCGCAGATTCTACAAAAAGAGTGTTTCAAAACTGCTCTGTAAAAAGAAAGGTTCAACTCTGTTAGTTGAGTACACACATCACAAACAAGTTTCACAGAATTCTTCTTTCTAGCTTGTAGGGGAAGATATTCCCTTTATCACCATGGGCCTCAAACCGTCCGAAACGTCCACTTCCATATACTACAAAAAGAGCGTTTCAAACCTGCTCTATCAAAGGCAATGTTCAACTCTGTGACTTGAATGCAGACATCACAGAGCAGTTTCTGAGAATGCTTCTGTCTAGATTTTATAGGAAGATATTCCCGTTTCCAGCGAAATCTTCACAGCTATCCAAATATCCACTTGCAGATTCTACAAAAAGAGTGTATCAAAACTGCTCTGTCAAAAGGAAGGTTCTTCTCTGTTAGGTGAGTGCATACGTCATAAAGGAGTTTCTGAGAATGTTTCTGTCTAGTTGTTATGGGAAGATATTTGCTTTTTCACCGTAGGCCTCAGAGCGCTCCAAATATCCACTTGCACATACTACAAAAAGAGTGCCTCAAAGCTGCTCTCTGAAACGGAATGTTCAACTCTATGAGTTGAATGCAAACATCACAAAGACGTTTCTGAGAATGCTTCTATCTAGATTTGATATGAAGATATTCCCGTTTCCAACGAAATCTTCAAATCTATCCAAATGTCCACTTGCAGATTCAACAAAAAGTGTTTTTCAAAACTGCTGTATCAAAAGAAAGATCCACGTCTGTTAGCTGAGTTCACATATCACAAACAATTTTATGAGAATGCTTCTGTCTAGTTTTTATTTGAAGATATTTCCTTTCTCACCATAGACCTGAAAACTGTCCTAATGTTCACTTCCAGATACTACAGAAAGAGTGTTTCAAAACTGCTGTACGAAAGGGAATGTTCAACTCTGTGACTTGAATGCACACATCACAAAGAAGTTTCTGAGGATGCTGCCGTCTACTTTTTATACGTAATCCCGTTTCCAACGAAATCCTCCAAGCTATCCAAATATCCACTTGCAGATTCCACAGAAAGACTGTTTCAAAACTGCTCTGTCAATAGAAAGGTTCAACTCTATTAGCTGCGTACATATATCCCAAAGAAGATTCTGAGATTGCTTCTGTCTAGTTTTTATGGGAAGATATTTCCCTTTACACCGTAGGTGTCAAGGCGCTCCAAATGTCCACTTCCAGATACTACAAAAAGAGTGTTTCAAACCTACTCTGTGAAAGGGAATATTCAACTCTGTGACTTGAATGCACATATCACAAAGAAGTTTCTGAGAATGCTTCTGTCGAGATTTTATATGAAGATATTCCCGTTTCCAACGAAATCCTGAAATCTATCCAAATATCCCCTCGCAGATTCTACAAAAAGAGTGTTTCAAAACTGCTCTGTAAAAAGAAAGGTTCAATTCTGTTAGTTGAGTACACACATCACAAACAAGTTTCACAGAATGCTTCTTTCTAGCTTGTAGGGGAAGATATTTCCTTTATCACCATGGTTCTCAAACCGTCCGAAACGTCCACTTCCATATACTAAAAAAAGAGTGTTTGAAACCTGCTCTATGAAAGGCAATGTTCAACTCTGTGACTTGAATGCAGACATCACAGAGCAGTTTCTGAGAATGCTTCTGTCCAGACTTTATAGGAAGATATTCCCGTTTCCAACGAAATCTTCACAGCTATCCAAATATCCACTTGCAGATAGTACAAAAAGAGTGTATCAAAAATGCTCTGTCAAAAGGAAAGTTCTTCTCTGCTAGTTGAGTACATACGTCATAAAGAAGTTTCTGAGAATGCTTCTGTCTAGTGGTTATGGGAAGATATTTGCTTTTTCACCGTAGGCCTCAGAGCGCTCCAAATATCCTCTTGCACATACTACAAAAAGAGTGCTTCAAAGCTGCTCTCTGAAACGGAATGTTCAACTCTATGAGTTGAATGCAAACATCAGAAAGACGTTTCTGAGAATGCTTCTGTCTAGTATTTGATATGAAGATATTCCCGTTTCCAACGAAATCTTCAAATCTATCCAAATGTCCACTTGCAGATTCAACAAAAAGTGTTTTTCAGAACTGCTCTATCAAAAGAAAGATCCACCTCTGTTAGCTGAGTTCAGACATCACAAACAAGTTTATGAGAATGCTTCTGTCTAGTTTTTATTTGAAGATATTTCCTTTCTCACCATAGACCTGAAAGCTGTCCTAATGTTCACTTCCAGATACTACAGAAAGAGTGTTTCAAAACTGCTGTACGAAAGGGAATGTTCAACTCTGTGACTTGAATGCACACATCACAAAGAAGTTTCTGAGGATGTTGCTGTCTACTATTTATACGTAATCCCGTTTCCAACGAAATCCTCCAATCTAACCAAATATCCACTTGCAGATTACACAGAAAGACTGTTTCAAAACTGCTCTGTCAATAGAAAGATTCAACTCTGTTAGCTGCGTGCATATATCCCAAAGAAGATTCTGAGATTGCTTCTGTCTAGTTTTTATGGGAAGATATTTCCCTTTTCACCATAGGCGTCAAGGCGCTCCAAATGTCCACTTCCAGATACTACAGAAAGAGTGTTTCAAACCTACTCTGTGAAAGGGAATATTCAACTCTGTGACTTGAATGCAGATATCACAAAGAAGTTTCTGAGAATGCTTCTGTCGAGATTTTATATGAAGATATTCCCGTTTCGAACGAAATCCTGAAATCTATCCAAATATCCCCTCGCAGATTCTACAAAAAGAGTGTTTCAAAACTGCTCTGTAAAAAGAAAGGTTCAACTCTGTTAGTTGAGTACACACATCACAAACAAGTTTCACAGAATGCTTCTTTCTAGCTTGTAGGGGAAGATATTCCCTTTATCACCATGGGCCTCAAACCGTCCGAAACGTCCACTTCCATATACTACAAAAAGAGCGTTAAAACCTGCTCTAGGAAAGGCAATGTTCAACTCTGTGACTTGAATGCAGACATCACAGAGCAGGTTCTGAGAATGCTTCTGTCTACATTTTATAGGAAGATATTCCCGTTTCCAACGAAATCTTCACAGCTATCCAAATATCCACTTGCAGATTCTACAAAAAGAGTGTATCAAAACTGCTCTGTCAAAAGGAAGGTTCTTCTCTGTTAGGTGAGTGCACACGTCATAAAGGAGTTTCTGAGAATGTTTCTGTCTACTGGTTATGGGAAGATATTTGCTTTTTCACCGTAGGCCTCAGAGCGCTCCAAATATCCTCTTGCACATACTACAAAAAGAGTGCTTCAAAGCTGCTCTCTGAAACGGAATGTTCAACTCTATGAGTTGAATGCAAACATCACAAAGACGTTTCTGAGAATGCTTCCGTCTAGATTTGATATGAAGATATTCCCGTTTCCAACGAAATCTTCAAATCTATCCAAATGTCCACTTGCAGATTCAACAAAAAGTGTTTTTCAGAAATGCTCTATCAAAAGAAAGATCCAACTCTGTTATCTGAGTTCACACTTCACAAACAAGTTTATCAGAATGCTTCTGTCTAGTTTTTATTTGAAGATATTTCCTTTCTCACTATAGACCTGAAAGCTCTCCTAAAGTTCACTTCCAGATACTACAGAAAGAGTGTTTCAAAACTGCTGTACGAAAGGGAATATTCAACTCTGTGACTTGAATGCACGCATCACAAGGAAGTTTCTGAGGATGCTGCTGTCTACTTTTTATACGTAATCCCGTTTCCAACGAAATCCTCCAAGCTATCCAAATATCCACTTGCAGATTCCACAGAAAGACTGTTTCAAAACTGCTCTGTCAATAGAAATGTTCAACTCTGTTAGCTGCATGCATATATTCCAAAGAAGATTCTGAGATTGCTTCTGTCTACTTTTTATGAGAAGATATTTTCCTTTTCACCGTAGGCGTCAAGGCGCTCCAAATGTCCACTTCCAGATACTACAAAAAGAGTGTTTCAAACCTACTCTGTGAAAGGGAATATTCAACTCTGTGACTTGAATGCACATATCACAAAGAAGTTTCTGAGAATGCTTCTGTCGAGATTTTCTATGAAGATATTCCCGTTTCCAACGAAATCCTGAAATCTATTCAAATATCCCCTCGCAGATTCTACAAAAAGAGTGTTTCAAAACTGCTCTGTAAAAAGAAAGGTTCAACTCTGTTAGTTGAGTACACACATCACAAAGAAGTTTCACAGAATGCTTCTTTCTAGCTTGTAGGGGAAGATATTCCCTTTATCACCATGGGCCTCCAACCGTCCGAAACATCCACTTCCATATACTACAAAAAGAGCGTTTCTAACCTGCTCTATGAAAGGCAATGTTCAACTCTGTGACTTGAATGCAGACATCACAGAGCAGTTTCTGAGAATGCTTCTGTCTAGATTTTATAGGAAGATATTCCCGTTTCCAACGAAATCTTCACAGCTATCCAAATATCCACTTGCAGATTCTACAAAAAGAGTGTATCAAAACTGCTCTGTCAAAAGGAAGGTTCTTCTCTGTTAGGTGAGTGCAAACGTCATAAAGGAGTTTCTGACAATATTTCTGTCTAGTGGTTATGGGAAGATATTTGCTTTTTCACCGCAGGCCTCAGAGCGGTCCAAATATCCACTTGCACATACTACAAAAAGAGTGCCTCAAAGCTGCTCTCTGAAACGGAATGTTCAACTCTATGAGTTGAATGCAAACATCACAAAGACGTTTCTGAGAATGCTTCTGTCTAGATTTGATATGAAGATATTCCCGTTTCCAACGAAATCTTCAAATCTATCCAAATGTCCACTAGCAGATTCAACAAAAAGTGTTTTTCAGAACTGCTCTATCAAAAGAAAGATCCACCTCTGTTAGCTGTGTTCACACATCACAAACAAGTTTATGAGAATGCTTCTGTGTAGTTTTTATTTGAAGATATTTCCTTTCTCACCATAGAGCTGAAAGCTGTCCTAATGTTCACTTCCAGATACTACAGAAAGAGTGTTTCAAAACTGCTGTACGAAAGGGAATGTTCAACTCTGTGACTTGAATGCACACATCACAAAGAAGTTTCGGAGGATGCTGCTGTCTACTTTTTATACGTAATCCCGTTTCCAACGAAATCCTCCAAGCTCTCCAAATATCCACTTGCAGATTCCACAGAAAGACTGTTTCAAAACTGCTCTGTCAATAGAAAGGTTCAACTCTGTTAGCTGCGTGCATATATCCCAAAGAAGATTCTGAGATTGCTTCTGTCTAGTTTTTATGGGAAGATATTTCCCTTTTCACCGTAGGCGTCAAGGCGCTCCAAATGTCCACTTCCAGATACTACAAAAAGAGTGTTTCAAACCTACTCTGTGAAAGGGAATATTCAACTCTGTGACTTGAATGCACCTATCACAAAGAAGTTTCTGAGAATGCTTCTGTCGAGATTTTATATGAAGATATTCCCGTTTCCAACGAAATCCTGAAATCTATCCAAATATCCCCTCGCAGATTCTACAAAAAGAGAGTTTCAAAACTGCTCTGTAAAAAGAAAGGTTCAACTCTGTTAGTTGAGTACACACATCACAAACAAGTTTCACAGAATGCTTCTTTCTAGCTTGTAGGGGACGATATTCCCTTTATCACCATGGGCCTCAAACCGACTGAAACGTCCACTTCCATATACTACAAAAAGAGCATTTCAAACCTGCTCTATGAAAGGCAATGTTCAACTCTGTGACTTGAATGCAGACATCACAGAGCAGTTTCTGAGAATGCTTCTGTCTAGATTTTATAGGAAGATATTCCCGTTTCCAACGAAATCTTCACAGCTATCCAAATATCCACTTGCAGATTCTACAAAAAGAGTGCATCAAAACTGCTCTGTCAAAAGGAAGGTTCTTCTCTGTTAGGTGAGTGCATACGTCATAAAGGAGTTTCTGAGAATGTTTCTGTCTAGTGGTTATGGGAAGATATTTGCTTTTTCACCGTAGGCCTCAGAGCGCTCCAAATATCCTCTTGCACATACTACAAAAAGAGTGCTTCAAAGCTGCTCTCTGAAACGGAATGTTCAACTCTATGAGTTGAATGCAAACATCACAAAGACGTTTCTGAGAATGCTTCTGTCTAGATTTGATATGAAGATATTCCCGTTTCCAACGAAATCTTCAAATCTATCCAAATGTCCACTTGCAGATTCAACAAAACGTGTTTTTCAGAACTGCTCTATCAAAAGAAAGATCCACCTCTGTTAGCTGAGTTCACACATCACAAACAAGTTGATGAGAATGCTTCTGTCTAGTTTTTATTTGAAGATATAACCTTTCTCACTATAGACCTGAAAGCTCTCCTAAAGTTCACTTCCAGATACTACAGAAAGAGTGTTTCGAAACTGCTGTATGAAAGGGAATGTTCAACTCTGTGACTTGAATGCACACATCACAAAGAAGTTTCTGAGGATGCTGCTGTCTACTTTTTATACGTAATCCCGTTTCCAACGAAATCCTCCAAGCTATCCAAATATCCACTTGCAGATTCCACAGAAAGACTGTTTCAAAACTGCTCTGTCAATAGAAAGGTTCAACTCTGTTAGTTGCGTGCATATATCCCAAAGAAGATTCTGAGATTGCTTCTGTCTAGTTTTTATGGGAAGATATTTCCCTTTTCACCATAGGCGTCAAGGCGCTCCAAATGTCCACTTCCAGATACTACAAAAAGAGTGTTTCAAACCTACTCTGTGAAAGGGAATATTCAACTCTGTGACTTGAAGGCAGATATCACAAAGAAGTTTCTGAGAATGCTTCTGTCGAGATTTTATATGAAGATATTCCCGTTTCCAACGAAATCCTGAAATCTATCGAAATATCCCCTCGCAGATTCTACAAAAAGAGTGTTTCAAAACCGCTCTGTAAAAAGAAAGGTTCAACTCTGTTAGTTGAGTACACACATCACAAACAAGTTTCACAGAATGCTCTTTCTAGCTTGTAGGGGAAGATATTCCCTTTATCACCATGGGCCTCAAACCGTCTGAAACGTCCACTTCCATATACTACAAAAAGAGCATTTCAAACCTGCTCTATGAAAGGCAATGTTCAACTCTGTGACTTGAATGCAGACATCACAGAGCAGTTTCTGAGAATGCTTTCTGTCTATACTTTATAGGAAGATATTCCCGTTTCCAAAGAAATCTTCACAGCTATCCAAATATCCACTTGCAGATTCTACAAAAAGAGTGTATCAAAACTGCTCTGTCAAAAAGAAGGTTCTTCTCTGTTAGGTGAGTGCATACGTCATAAAGGAGTTTCTGAGAATGTTTCTGTCTAGTGGTTATGGGAAGATATTTGCTTTTTCACCGTAAGCCCCAGAGCACTCCAAATATCCACTTGCACATACTACAAAAAGAGTGCTTCAAAGCTGCTCTCTGAAACGGAATGTTCAACTCTATGAGTTGAATGCAATCATCACAAAGACGTTTCTGAGAATGCTTCTGTCTAGATTTGATATGAAGATATTCCCGTTTCCAACGAAATCTTCAAATCTATCCAAATGTCCACTTGCAGATTCAACAAAAAGTGTTTTTCAGAACTGCTCTATCAAAAGAAAGATCCAACCTCTGTTAGCTGAGTTCACACATCACAAACAAGTTTATGAGAATGCTTCCGTCTAGTTTTTATTTGAAGATATTTCCTTTCTCACCATAGACCTGAAAGCTGTCCTAATGTTCACTTCCAGATACTACAGAAAGAGTGTTTCAAAACTGCTGTACGAAAGGGAATGTTCAACTCTGTGACTTGAATGCACACATCACAAGGATGTTTCTGAGGATGCTGCTGTCTACTTTTTATACGTAATCCCGTTTCCAACGAAATCCTCCAAGCTATCCAAATATCCACTTGCAGATTCCACAGAAAGACTGTTTCAAAACTGCTCTGTCAATAGAAAGGTTCAACTCTATTAGCTGCGTACATATATCCCAAAGAAAATTCTGAGATTGCTTCTGTCTAGTTTTGATGGGAAGATATTTCCCTTTTCACCGTAGGTGTCAAGGCGCTCCAAATGTCCACTTCCAGATACTACAAAAAGAGTGTTTCAAACCTACTCTGTGAAAGGGAATATTCAACTCTGTGACTTGAATGCACATATCACAAAGAAGTTTCCTGAGAATGCTTCTGTCGAGATTTTATATGAAGATATTCCCGTTTCCAACGAAATCCTGAAATCTATCCAAATATCCCCTCGCAGATTCTACAAAAAGAGTGTTTCAAAACTGCTGTGTAAAAAGAAAGGTTCAACTCTGTTAGTTGAGTACACACATCACAAACAAGTTTCACACAATGCTTCTTTCTAGCTTGTAGGGGAAGATATTTCCTTCATCACCATGGGCCTCAAACCGTCCGAAACGTCCACTTCCATATACTACAAAAAGAGCGTTTGAAACCTGCTCTATGAAAGGCAATGTTCAACTCTGTGACTTGAATGCAGACATCACAGAGCAGTTTCTGAGAATGCTTCTGTCTAGATTTTATAGGAAGATATTCCCGTTTCCAACGAAATCTTCACAGCTATCCAAATATCCACTTGCAGATTCTACAAAAAGAGTGTATCAAAACTGCTCTGTCAAAAGGAAGGTTCTTCTCTGTTAGGTGAGTGCATACGTCATAAAGGAGTTTCTGAGAATGTTCTGTCTAGTGGTTATGGGAAGATATTTGCTTTTTCACCGTAGGCCTCAGAGCGCTCCAAATATCCCCTTGCACATACTACAAAAAGAGTGCTTCACAGCTGCTCTCTGAAACGGAATGTTCAAATCTATGAGTTGAATGCAAACATCACAAAGACGTTTCTGAGAATGCTTCTGTCTGGACTTGATATGAAGATATTCCCGTTTCCAACGAAATCTTCAAATCTATCCAAATGTCCACTTGCAGATTCAACAAAAAGTGTTTTTCAAAACTGCTGTATCAAAAGAAAGATCCACGTCCGTTAGCTGAGTTCACACATCACAAACAAGTTTATGAGAATGCTTCTGTCTAGTTTTTATTTGAAGATATTTCCTTTCTCACCATAGAGCTGAAAGCTGTCTTAGTGTTCACTTCCAGATACTACAGAAAGAGTGTTTCAAAACTGCTGTACGAAAGGGAATGTTCAACTCTGTGACTTGAATGCACACATCACAAAGAAGTTTCTGAGGATGCTGCTGTCTACTTTTTATACGTAATCCCGTTTCCAACGAAATCCTCCAAGCTATCCAAATGTCCACTTGCAGATTCCACAGAAAGACTGTTTCAAAACTGCTCTGTCAATAGAAAGGTTCAACTCTGTTAGCTGCGTGCATATATCCCAAAGAAGATTCTGAGATTGCTTCTGTCTAGTTATTATGGGAAGATATTTCCCTTTTCACCGTAGGCGTCAAGGCGCTCCAAATGTCCACTTCCAGATACTACAAAGAGAGTGTTTCAAACCTACTCTGTGAAAGGGAATATTCAACTCTGTGACTTGAATGCACATATCACAAAGAAGTTTCTGAGAATGCTTCTGTCGAGATTTTATATGAAGATATTCCCGTTTCCAACGAAATCCTGAAATCTCTCCAAATATCCCCTCGCAGATTCTACAAAAAGAGTGTTTCAAAACTGCTCTGTAAAAAGAAAGGTTCAACTCTGTTACTTGAGTACACACATCACAAACAAGTTTCACAGAATGATTCTTTCTAGCTTGTAGGGGAAGATATTCCCTTTATCACCATGGGCCTCAAACCGTCCGAAACGTCCACTTCCATATACTACAAAAAGAGCGTTTCAAACCTGCTCTATGAAAGACAATGTTCAACTCTGTGACTTGAATGCAGACATCAGAGAGCAGTTTCTGAGAATGCTTCTGTCTAGATTTTATAGGAAGATATTCCCGTTTCCAACGAAATCTTCACAGCTATCCAAATATCCACTTGCAGATTCTACAAAAAGAGTGTATCAAAACTGCTCTGTCAAAAGGGAAGGTTCTTCTCTGTTAGGTGAGTGCATACGTCATAAAGGAGTTTCTGAGAATGTTTCTGTCTAGTGGTTATGGGAAGATATTTGCTTTTTACCCGTAGGCCTCAGGGCGCTCCAAATGTCCACTTGCACATGCTACAAAAAGAGTGCTTCAAAGCTACTCTCTGGAAGGGAATGTTCAACTCTATGAGTTGAATGCAAATATCACAAAGACGTTTCTGAGAATGCTTCTGTCTAGATTTGATATGAAGATATTCCCGTTTCCAACGAAATCTTCAAATCTATCCAAATGTCCACTTGCAGATTCAACAAAAAGTGTTTTTCAAAACTGCTGTATCAAAAGAAATATCCACGTCTGTTAGCTGAGTTCAGACATCACAAACAAGTTTATGAGAATGCTTCTGTCTAGTTTTTATTGGAAGGTATTTCCTTTCTCACCATAGACCTGAAAGCTGTCCTAATGTTCACTTCCAGATACTACAGAAAGAGTGTTTCAAAACTGCTGTACGAAAGGGAATGTTCAACTCTGTGACTTGAATGCACACATCACAAAGATGTTTCGGAGGATGCTGCTGTCTACTTTTTATACGTAATCCCGTTTCCAACGAAATCCTCAAAGCTATCCAAATATCCACTTGCAGATTCCACAGAAAGACTGTTTCAAAACTGCTCTGTCAATAGAAAGGTTCAACTCTGTTAGCTGCGTGCATATATCCCAAAGAAGATTCTGAGATTGCTTCTGTCTAGTTTTTATGGGAAGATATTTCCCTTTTCACCGTAGGCGTCAAGGCGCTCCAAATGTCCACTTCCAGATACTACAAAAAGAGTGTTTCAAACCTACTCTGTGAAAGGGAATATTCAACTCTGTGACCTGAATGCACATATCACAAGGAAGTTTCTGAGAATGCTTCTGTCGAATTTTTATATGAAGATATTCCCGTTTCCAACGAAATCCTGAAATCTATCCAAATATCCCCTTGCAGATTCTACTAAAAGAGTGTTTCAAAACTGCTCTGTAAAAAGAAAGGTTCAACTCTGTTAGTTGAGTACACACATCACAAACAAGTTTCACACAATGCTTCTTTCTAGCTTGTAGGGGAAGATATTCCCTTTATCACCATGGGCCTCAAACTGTCCGAAACGTCCACTTCCATATACTACAAAAAGAGCGTTTCAAACCTGCTCTATGAAAGGCAATGTTCAACTCTGTGACTTGAATGCAGACATCACAGAGCAGTTTCTGAGAATGCTTCTGTGTAGATTTTATAGGAAGATATTCCCGTTTCCAACGAAATCTTCACAGCTATCCAAATATCCACTTGCAGATTCTACAAAAAGAGTGTATCAAAACTGCTCTGTCAAAAGGAAGGTTCTTCTCTGTTAGGTAAGTGCATACGTCATAAAGGAGTTTCTGAGAATGTTTCTGTCTAGTGGTTATGGGAAGATATTTGCTTTTTCACCGTAGGCCTCAGAGCGCTCCAAATATCCACTTGCAGATACTACAAAAAGAGTGCCTCAAAGCTGCTCTCTGAAACGGAATGTTCAACTCTATGAGTTGAATGCAAACATCGCAAAGACGTTTCTGAGAATGCTTCTGTCTAGATTTGATATGAAGATATTCCCGTTTCCAACGGAAATCTTCAAATCTATCCAAATGTCCACTTGCAGATTCAACAAAAAGTGTTTTTCCGAACTGCTCTATCAAAAGAAAGATCCGCCTCTGTTAGCTGAGTTCACACATCACAAACAAGTTTATGAGAATGCTTCCGTCTAGTTTTTATTTGAAGATATATCCTTTCTCACTATAGACCTGAAAGGTGTCCTAAAGTTCACTTCCAGATACTACAGAAAGAGTGTTTCAAAACTGCTGTACGAAAGGGAATGTTCAACTCTGTGACTTGAATGCACACATCACAAGGATGTTTCTGAGGATGCTGCTGTCTACTTTTTATACGTAATCCCGTTTCCAACGAAATCCTCCAAGCTATCCAAATATCCACTTGCAGATTCCACCGAAAGACTGTTTCAAAACTGCTCTGTCAATAGAAAGGTTCAACTCTGTTAGCTGCGTGCATATATCCCAAAGAAGATTCTGAGATTGCTTCTGTCTAGTTTTTATGGGAAGATATTTCCCTTTTCACCGTAGGCGTCAAGGGGCTCCAAATGTCCACTTCCAGATACTACAAAAAGAGTGTTTCAAACCTACTCTGTGAAAGGGAATATTCAACTCTGTGACTTGAATGCACATATCACAAAGAAGTTTCTGAGAATGCTTCTGTCGAGATTTTATATGAAGATATTCCCGTTTCCAACGAAATCCTGAAATCTCTCCAAATATCCCCTCGCAGATTCTACAAAAAGAGTGTTTCAAAACTGCTCTGTAAAAAGAAAGGTTCAACTCTGTTACTTGAGTACACACATCACAAACAAGTTTCACAGAATGCTTCTTTCTAGCTTGTAGGGGAAGATATTCCCTTTATCACCATGGGCCTCAAACCGTCCGAAACGTCCACTTCCATATAGTACAAAAAGAGCGTTTCAAACCTGCTCTATGAAAGGCAATGTTCAACTCAGTGACTTGAATGCAGACATCACAGAGCAGTTTCTGAGAATGCTTCTGTCTAGATTTTATAGGAAGATATTCCCGTTTCCAACGAAATCTTCACAGCTATCCAAATATCCACTTGCAGATTCTACAAAAAGAGTGTATCAAAACTGCTCTGTCAAAAGGAAGGTTCTTCTCTCTTAGGTGAGTGCATACGTCGTAAAGGAGTTTCTGAGAATGTTTCAGTCTAGTGGTTATGGGAAGATATTTGCTTTTTCACCGTAGACCTCACAGCGCTCCAAATATCCACTTGCACATACTACAAAAAGAGTGCTTCAAAGCTGCTCTCTGAAACGGAATGTTCAACTCTATGAGTTGAATGCAAACATCACAAAGACGTTTCTGAGAATGCTTCTGTCTAGATTTGATATGAAGATATTCCCGTTTCCAACGAAATCTTCAAATTTATCCAAATGTCCACTTGCAGATTCAACAAAAAGTGTTTTTCAGAACTGCTCTATCAAAAGAAAGATCCACCTCCGTTAGCTGAGTTCACACTTCACAAACAAGTTTATCAGAATGCTTCTGTCTAGTTTTTATTTGAAGATATTTCCTTTCTCACCATAGAGCTGAAAGCTGTCCTAATGTTCACTTCCAGATACTACAGAAAGAGTGTTTGAAAACTGCTGTACGAAAGGGAATGTTCAACTCTGTGACTTGAATGCACACATCACAAAGAAGTTTCTGAGGATGCTGCTGTCTACTTTTTATACGTAATCCCGTTTCCAACGAAATCCTCCAAGCTATCCAAATATCCACTTGCAGATTCCACAGAAAGACTGTTTCAAAACTGCTCTGTCAATAGAAACGTTCAACTCTGTTAGCTGCGTGCATATATCCCAAAGAAGATTCTGAGATTGCTTCTGTCTAGTTTTTATGGGAAGATATTTCCCTTTTCACCGTAGGTGTCAAGGCGCTCCAAATGTCCACTTCCAGATACTACAAAAAGAGTGTTTCAAACCTACTCTGTGAAAGGGAATATTCAACTCTGTGACTTGAATGCACATATCACAAAGAAGTTCCTGAGAATGCTTCTGTCGAGATTTTATATGAAGATATTCCCGTTTCCAACGAAATCCTGAAATCTATCCAAATATCCCCTCGCAGATTCTACAAAAAGAGTGTTTCAAAACTGCTCTGTAAAAAGAAAGGTTCAACTCTGTTACTTGAGTACACACATCACAAACAAGTTTCACAGAATGCTTCTTTCTAGCTTGTAGGGGAAGATATTCCCTTTATCACCATGGGCCTCAAACCGTCCGAAACGTCCACTTCCATATACTACAAAAAGAGCGTTTCAAACCTGATCTAGGAAAGGCAATGTTCAACTCTGTGACTTGAATGCAGACATCACAGAGCAGTTTCTGAGAATGCTTCTGTCTAGATGTTATAGGAAGATATTCCCGTTTCCAACGAAATCTTCACAGGTATCCAAATATCCACTTGCAGATTCTACAAAAAGAGTGTATCAAAACTGCTCTGTCAAAAGGAAGGTTCTTCTCTGTTAGGTGAGTGCATACGTCATAAAGGAGTTTCTGAGAATGTTTCTGTCTAGTGGTTATGGGAAGATATTTGCTTTTTCCCCGTAGGCCTCAGGGCGCTCCAAATGTCCACTTGCACATGCTACAAAAAGAGTGCTTCAAAGCTGCTCTCTGAAAGGGAATGTTCAACTCTATGAGTTGAATGCAAACATCACAAAGACGTTTACTGAGAATGCTTCTGTCTAGATTTGATATGAAGATATTCCCGTTTCCAACGAAATCTTCAAATCTATCCAAATGTCCACTTGCAGATTCAACAAAAAGTGTTTTTCAGAACTGCTCTATCAAAAGAAAGATCCACCTCTGTAAGCTGAGTTCACACATCACAAACAAGTTTATGAGAATGCTTCTGTCTAGTCTTTATTTGAAGATATTTCCTTTCTCACCATAGACCTGAAAGCTGTCCTAATGTTCACTTCCAGATACTACACAAAGAGTGTTTCAAAACTGCTGTACGAAAGGGAATGTTCAACTCTGTGACTTGAATGCACACATCACAAAGAAGTTTCTGAGGATGCTGCTGTCTACTTTTTATACGTAATCCCGTTTCCAACGAAATCCTCCAATCTATCCAAATATCCACTTGCAGATTCCACAGAAAGACTGTTTCAAAACTGCTCTGTCAATAGAAAGGTTCAACTCTGTTAGCTGCGTGCATATATCCCAAGGAAGATTCTGAGATTGCTTCTGTCTAGTTTTTATGGGAAGATATTTCCCTTTTCACCGTAGGCGTCAAGGCGCTCCAAATGTCCACTTCCAGATACTACAAAAAGAGTGTTTCAAACCTACTCTGTGAAAGGGAGTATTCAACTCTGTGACTTGAACACACATATCACAAAGAAGTTTCTGAGAATGCTTCTGTCGAGATTTTATATGAAGATATTCCGGTTTCCAACAAAATCCTGAAATCTATCCAAATATCCCCTCGCAGATTCTACAAAAAGAGTGTTTCAAAACTGCTCTGTAAAAAGAAAGGTTCAACTCTGTTAGTTGAGTACACACATCACAAACAAGTTTCACACAATGCTTCTTTCTAGCTTGTAGGGGAAGATATTCCCTTTATCACCATGGGCCTCAAACCGTCCGAAACGTCCACTTCCATATACTACAAAAAGAGCGCTTCAAACCTGCTGTATGAAAGACAATGTTCAACTCTGTGACTTGAATGCAGACATCACAGAGCAGTTTCTGAGAATGCTTCTGTCTAGATTTTATAGGAAGATATTTCCGTTTCCAACGAAACCTTCACAGCTATCCAAATATCCACTTGCAGATTCTACAAAAAGAGTGTATCAAAACTGCTCTGTCAAACGGAATGTTCTTCTCTGTTAGTTGAGTACATACGTCATAAAGGAGTTTCTGAGAATGTTTCTGTCTAGTGGTTATGGGAAGATATTTGCTTTTTCACCGTCGGCCTCAGAGCGCTCCAAATATCCCCTTGCACATACTACAAAAAGAGTGCTTCAAAGCTGCTCTCTGAAAGGGAATGTTCAACTCTATGAGTTGAATGCAAACATCACAAAGACGTTTCTGAGAATGCTTCTGTCTAGATTTGATATGAAGATATTCCCGTTTCCAACGAAATCTTCAAATCTATCCAAATGTCCACTTTCAGATTCAACAAAAAGTGTTTTTCAGAACTGCTCTATCAAAAGAAAGATCCACCTCTGTTAGCTGAGTTCACACATCACAAACAAGTTTATGAGAACGCTTCTGTCTAGTTTTTATTTGAAGATATTTCCTTTCTCACCATAGACCTGAAAGCTGTCCTAATGTTCACTCCCAGATACTACAGAAAGAGTGTTTCAAAACTGCTGTACGAAAGGGAAAGTTCAACTCTGTGACTTGAATGCACACATCACAAAGAAGTTTCTGAGGATGCTGCTGTCTACTTTTTATACGTAATCCCGTTTCCAACGAAATCCTCCAATCTATCCAAATATCCACTTGCAGATTCCACAGAAAGACTGTTTCAAAACTGCTCTGTCAATAGAAAGGTTCAACTTTGTTAGCTGCGTGCATATATCCCAAAGAAGATTCTGAGATTGCTTCTGTCTAGTTTTGATGGGAAGATATTTCCCTTTTCACCGTGGGCGTCAAGGCGCTCCAAATGTCCACTTCCAGATACTACAAAAAGAGTGTTTCAAACCTACTCTGTGAAAGGGAATATTCAACTCTGTGACTTGAATGCACATATCACAAAGAAGTTTCTGAGAATGCTTCTGTCGAGATTTTATATGAAGATATTCCCCTTTCCAACGAAATCCTGAAATCTATCCAAATATCCCCTCGCAGATTCTACAAAAAGAGTGTTTCAAAACTGCTCTGTAAAAAGAAAGGTTCAACTCTGTTAGTTGACTACACACATCACAAACAAGTTTCACAGAATGCTTCTTTCTAGCTTGTAGGGGAAGATATTCCCTTTATCACTATGGGCCTCAAACCGTCCGAAACGTCCACTTCCATATACTACAAAAAGAGCGTTTCAAACCTGCTCTAGGAAAGGCAGTGTTCAACTCTGTGACTTGAATGCAGACATCACAGAGCAGTTTCTGAGAATGCTTCTGTGTAGATTTTATAGAAAGATATTCCCGTTTCCAACGAAATCTTCACAGCTATCCAAATATCCACTTGCAGATTCTACAAAAAGAGTGTATCAAAACTGCTCTGTCAAAAGGAAGGTTCTTCTCTGTTAGGTGAGTGCATACGTCATAAAGGAGTTTCTGAGAATGTTTCTGTCTAGTGGTTATGGGAAGATATTTGCTTTTTCACCTTAGGCCTCAGAGCGCTCCAAATATCCACTTGCACATACTACAAAAAGAGTGCTTCAAAGCTGCTCTCTGAAAGGGAATGTTCAACTCTATGAGTTGAATGCAAACATCACAAAGACGTTTCTGAGAATGCTTCTGTCTAGATTTGATATGAAGATATTCCCGTTTCCAACGACATCTTCAAATCTATCCAAATGTCCACTTGCAGATTCAACAAAACGTGTTTTTCAGAACTGCTCTATCAAAAGAAACATCCACCTCTGTTAGCTGAGTTCACACATAACAAACAAGTTCTTGAGAATGCTTCTGTCTAGTTTTTATTTGAAGATATTTCCTTTCTCACCATAGACCTGAAAGCTGTCCTAATGTTCACTTCCAGATACTACAGAAAGTGTGTTTCAAAACTGCTCTACGAAAGGGAATGTTCAACTCTGTGACTTGAATGCACACATCACAAAGAAGTTTCTGAGGATGCTGCTGTCTACTTTTTATACGTAATCCCGTTTCCAACGAAATCCTCCTAGCTATCCAAATATCTACTTGCAGATTCCACAGAAAGACTATTTCAAAACTGCACTGTCAATAGAAAGGTTCAACTCTGTTAGCTGCGTGCATATATCCCAAAGAAGATTCTGAGATTGCTTCTGTCTAGTTTTTATGGGAAGATATTTCCCTTTTCACCGAAGGCGTCAAGGCGCTCCAAATGTCCACTTCCAGATACTACAAAAAGAGTGTTTCAAACCTACTCTGTGAAAGGGAATATTCAACTCTGTGACTTGAATGCACATATCACAAAGAAGTTTCTGAGAATGCTTCTGTCGAGTATTTTATATGAAGATATTCCCGTTTCCAACGAAATGCTGAAATGTATCCAAATATCCCATCGCAGATTCTACAAAAAGAGTGTTTCAAAACTGCTCTGTAAAAAGAAAGGTTCAACTCTGTTAGTTGAGTACACACATCACAAACAAGTTTCACAGAATGCTTCTGTCTAGTTTTTATGGGAAGATATTTCCCTTTTCACCGTAGGCGTCAATGCACTCCAAACGTCTACTTCCATATACTACAAAAAGAGCGTTTCAAACCTGCTCTATGAAAGGCAATGTTCAACTCTGTGACTTGAATGCAGACATCACAGAGCAGTTTCTGAGAATGCTTCTGTCTAGGTTTTATAGGAAGATATTCCCGTTTCCAACGAAATCTTCACAGCTATCCAAATATCCACTTGCAGATTCTACAAAAAGAGTGTATCAAAACTGCTCTGTCAAAAGGAAGGTTCTTCTCTGTTAGGTGAGTGCATACGTCGTAAAGGAGTTTCTGAGAATGTTTCTGTCTAGTGGTTATGGGAAGATATTTGCTTTTTCACCGTAGGCCTCAGAGCGCTCCAAATATCCACTTGCACATACTACAAAAAGAGTGCTTCAAAGCTGCTCTCTGAAACGGAATGTTCAACTCTATGAGTTGAATGCAAACATGACAAAGACGTTTCTGAGAATGCTTCTGTCTAGATTTGATATGAAGAAATTCCCGTTTCCAACGAAATCTTCAAATCTATCCAAATGTCCACTTGCAGATTCAACAAAGTGTTTTTCAGAACTGCTCTATCAAAAGAAAGATCCACCTCTGTTAGCTGAGATCACACTTCACAAACAAGTTTATCAGAATGCTTCTGTCTAATTTTTATTTGAAGATATTTCCTTTCTCACCATAGACCTGAAAGCTGTCCTAATGTTCACTTCCAGATACTACAGAAAGAGTGTTTCAAAACTGCTGTACGAAAGGGAATGTTCAACTCTGTGACTTGAATGCACACATCACAAAGAAGTTTCTGAGGATGCTGCTGTCTACTTTTTGTACGTAATCCCGTTTCCAAGGAAATCCTCCAAGCTATCCAAATATCCACTTGCAGATTCCACAGAAAGACTGTTTCAAAACTGCTCTGTCAATAGAAAGGTTCAACTCTGTTAGCTGCGTGCATATATCCCAAAGAAGATTCTGAGATTGCTTCTGTCTACTTTTTATGAGAAGATATTTCCCTTTTCACCGTAGGCGTCAAGGCGCTCCAAATGTCCACTTCCAGATACTACAAAAAGAGTGTTTCAAACCTACTCTGTGAAAGGGAATATTCAACTCTGTGACTTGAATGCACATATCACAAAGAAGTTTCTGAGAATACTTCTGTCGAGATGTTTTATGAAGATATTCCCGTTTCCAACGAAATCCTGAAATCTATCCAAAAATCCCCTCGCAGATTCTACAAAAAGAGTGTTTCAAAACTGCTCTGTAAAAAGAAAGGTTCAACTCTGTTAGTTGAGTACACACATCACAAACAAGTTTCACAGAATGCTTCTTTCTAGCTTGTAGGGGAAGATATTCCCTTTATCACCATGGGCCTCAAACCGTCCGTAACGTCCACTTCCATATACTACAAAAAGAGCGTTTCAAACCTGCTCTATGAAAGGCAATGTTCAACTCTGTGACTTGAATGCAGACATCACAGAGCAGTTTCTGAGAATGCTTCTGTCTAGATTTTATAGGAAGATATTCCCGTTTCCAACGAAATCTTCACAGCTATCCAAATATCCACTTGCAGATTGTACAAAAAGAGTGTATCAAAACTGCTCTGTCAAAAGGAAGGTTCTTTTCTGTTAAGTGAGTGCATACGTCATAAAGGAGTTTCTGAGAATGTTTCTGTCTAGTGGTTATGGGAAGATATTTTCTTTTTCACCGTAGGCCTCAGAGCGCTCCAAATATCCAGTTGCACATAGTACAAAAAGAGTGCCTCAAAGCTGCTCTCTGAAACGGAATGTTCAACTCTGTGAGTTGAATGCAAACATCGCAAAGACGTTTCTGAGAATGCTTCTGTCTAGATTTGATATGAAGATATTCCCGTTTCCAACGAAATCTTCATATCTATCCAAATGTCCACTTGCAGATTCAACAAAAAGTGTTTTTCAAAACTGCTCTATCAAAAGAAACATCCACCTCTGTTAGCTGAGTTCACACATAACAAACAAGTTCTTGAGAATGCTTCTGTCTAGTTTTTATTTGAAGATATTTCCTGTCTCACCATAGACCTGAAAGCTGTCCTAATGTTCACTTCCAGATACTACAGAAAGAGTGTTTCAAAACTGCTGTACGAAAGGGAATGTTCAACTCTGTGACTTGAATGCCCACATCACAAAGATGTTTCTGAGGATGCTGCTGTCTACTTTTTATACGTAATCCCGTTTCCAACGAAATCCTCCAAGCTATCGAAATATCCACTTGCAGATTCCACAGAAAGACTGTTTCAAAACTGCTCTGTCGATAGAAAGGTTCAACTCTGTTAGCTGCGTGCATATATCCCAAAGAAGATTCTGAGATTGCTTCTGTCTAGTTTTTATGGGAAGATATTTCCCTTTTCACCGTAGGCGTCAAGGCGCTCCAAATGTCCACTTCCAGATACTACAAAAAGAGTGTTTCAAACCTACTCTGTGAAAGGGAATATTCAACTCTGTGTCTTGAATGCACATATCACAAAGAAGTTTCTGAGAATGCTTCTGTCGAGATTTTATATGAAGATATTCCCGTTTCCAACGAAATCCTGAAATCTATCCAAATATCCCCTCTCAGATTCTACAAAAAGAGTGTTTCAAAACTGTTCTGTAAAAAGAAAGGTTCAACTCTGTTAGTTGAGTACACACATCACAAACAAGTATCACAGAATGCTTCTTTCTAGCTTGTAGGGGAAGATATTCCCTTCATCACCATGGGCCTCAAACCGTCCGAAACGTCCACTTCCATATACTACAAAAAGAGCGTTTCAAACCTGCTCTAGGAAAGGCAATGTTCAACTCTGTGACTTGAATGCAGACATCACAGAGCAGTTTCTGAGAATGCTTCTGTCTAGATTTTATAGGAAGATATTCCAGTTTCCAACGAAATCTTCACAGCTATCCAAATATCCACTTGCAGATTCTACAAAAAGAGTCTATCAAAACTGCTCTGTCAAAAGGAAGGTTCTTCTCTGTTAGTTGAGTACATACGTCATAAAGGAGTTTCTGAGAATGTTTCTGTTAGTGGTTATGGGAAGATATTTGCTTTTTCACCGTAGGCCTCAGAGCGCTTCAAATATCCACTTGCACATACTACAAAAAGAGTGCCTCAAAGCTGCTCTCTGAAACGGAATGTTCAACTCTATGAGTTGAATGCAAACATCGCAAAGACGTTTCTGAGAATGCTTCTGTCTAGATTTGATATGAAGATATTCCCGTTTCCAAAGAAATCTTCAAATCTATCCAAATGTCCACTTGCAGATTCAACAAAAAGTGTTTTTCAGAACTGCTCTATCAAAAGAAAGATCCACCTCTGTTAGCTGAGTTCACACATCACAAACAAGTTTATGAGAATGCTTCTCTCTAGTTTTTATTTGAAGATATTTCCTTTCTCACCATAGAGCTGAAAGCTGTCCTAATGTTCACTTCCAGATACTACAGAAAGAGTGTTTGAAAACTGCTGTACGAAAGGGAATGTTCAACTCTGTGACTTGAATGCACACATCACAAAGAAGTTTCTGAGGATGCTGCTGTCTACTTTTTATACGTAATCCCGTTTCCAACGAAATCCTCCAAGCTATCCAAATATCCACTTGCAGATTCCACAGAAAGACTGTTTCAAAACTGCTCTGTCAATAGAAAAGTTCAACTCTGTTAGCTGTGTCCATATATCCCAAAGAAGATTCTGAGACTGCTTCTGTCTAGTTTTTATGGGAAGATATTTCCCTTTTCACCGTAGGCGTCGAGGCGCTCCAAATGTCCACTTCCAGATACTACAAAAAGAGTGTTTCAAACCTACTCTGTGAAAGGGAATATTCAACTCTGTGACTTGAATGCACATGTCACAAAGAAGTTTCTGAGAATGCTTCTGTCGAGATTTTATATGAAGATATTCCCGTTTCCAACGAAATCCTGAAATCTATCCAAATATCCCCTCGCAGATTCTACAAAAACAGTGTTTCAAAACTGCTCTGTAAAAAGAAAGGTTCAACTCTGTTAGTTGAGTACACACCTCACAAACAAGTTTCACAGAATGCTTCTTTCTAGCTTGTAGGGGAAGATATTCCCTTTATCACCATGGGCCTCCAACCGTCCGAAACATCCACTTCCATATACTACAAAAAGAGCGTTTCAAACCTGCTCTATGAAAGGCAATGTTCAACTCTGTGACTTGAATGCAGACATCACAGAGCAGTTTACTGAGAATGCTTCTGTCTAGATTTTATAGGAAGATATTCCCGTTTCCAACGAAATCTTCACAGCTATCCAAATATCCACTTGCAGATTCTACAAAAAGAGTGTATCAAAACTGCTCTGTCAGAAGGAAGGTTCTTCTCTGTTAGGTGAGTGCATACGTCATAAAGGAGTTTCTGAGAATGTTTCTGTTTAGTGGTTATGGGAAGATATTTGCTTTTTCACCTTAGGCCTCAGAGCGCTCCAAATATCCCCTTGCACATACTACAAAAAGAGTGCTTCAAAGCTGCTCTCTGAAACGGAATGTTCAACTCTATGAGTTGAATGCAAACATGACAAAGACGTTTCCGAGAATGCTTCTGTCTAGATTTGATATGAAGATATTCCCGTTTCCAACGAAATCTTCAAATCTATCCAAATGTCCACTTGCAGATTCAACAAAACGTGTTTTTCAGAACAGCTCTATCAAAAGAAAGATCCACGTCTCTTAGCTGAGTTCACACATCACAAACAAGTTTATGAGAATGCTTCTGTCTAGTTTTTATTTGAAGATATTTTGTTTCTCACCATAGAGCTGAAAGCTGTCCTAATGTTCACTTCCAGATACTACAGAAAGAGTGTTTCAAAACTGCTGTACGAAAGGGAATGTTCAACTCTGTGACTTGAATGCACACATCACAAAGAAGTTTCTGAGGATACTGCTGTCTACTTATTATACGTAATCCCGTTTCCAACGAAATCCTCCAAGCTATCCAAATATCCACTTGCAGATTCCACAGAAAGACTGTTTCAAAACTGCTCTGTCAATAGAAAGGTTCAACTCTGTTAGCTGCGTGCATATATCCCAAAGAAGATTCTGAGATTGCTTCTGTCTAGTTTTTATGGGAAGATATTTCCCTTTTCACCGTAGGTGTCAAGGCGCTCCAAATGTCCACTTCCAGATACTACAAAAAGAGTGTTTCAAACCTACTCTGTGAAAGGGAATATTCAACTCTGTGACTTGAATGCACATATCACAAAGTAGTTTCTGAGAATGCTTCTGTCGAGTATTTTATATGAAGATATTCCCGTTTCCAACGAAATGCTGAAATCTATCCAAATATCCCCTCGCAGATTCTACAAAAAGAGTGTTTCAAAACTGCTCTGTGAAAAGAAAGGTTCAACTCTGTTAGTTGAGTACACACATCACAAACAAGTTTCACAGAATGCTTCTTTCTAGCATGTAGGGGAAGATATTCCCTTTATCACCATGGGCCTCAAACCGTCCGATAAGTCCACTTCCATATACTACAAAAAGAGCGTTTCAAACCTGCTCTATGAAAGGCAATGTTCAACTCTGTGACTTGAATGCAGACATCACAGAGCAGTTTCTGGGAATGCTTCTGTCTAGATTTTATAGGAAGATATTCCCGTTTCCAACGAAATCTTCACAGCTATCCAAATATCCACTTGCAGATTCTACAAAAAGAGTGTATCGAAACTGCTCTGTCAAAAGGAAGGTTCTTTTCTGTTAGGTGAGTGCATACGTCATAAAGGAGTTTCTGAGAATGTTTCTGTTAGTGGTTATGGGAAGATATTTGCTTTTTCACCGTAGGCCTCAGAGCGCTCCAAATATCCACTTGCACATACTACAAAAAGAGTGCCTCAAAGCTGCTCTCTGAAACGGAATGTTCAACTCTATGAGTTGAATGCAAACATCGCAAAGACGTTTCTGAGAATGCTTCTGTCTAGATTTGATATGAAGATATTCCCGTTTCCAAGGAAATCTTCAAAACTATCCAAATGTCCACTTGCAGATTCAACAAAAAGTGTTTTTCAGAACTGCTCTATCAAAAGAAAGATCCACCGTTGTTAGCTGAGTTCACACATCACAAACAAGTTTATGAGAATGCTTCTGTCTAGTTTTCATATGAAGATATTTCCTTTCTCACCATAGACCTGAAAGCTGTCCTAATGTACACTTGCAGATACTACAGAAAGAGTGTTTCAAAACTGCTGTACGAAAGGGAATGTTCAACTCTGTGACTTGAATGCACACATCACAAAGAAGTTTCTGAGGATGCTGCTGTCTACTTTTTATACGTAATCCCGTTTCCAACGAAATCCTCCCAGCTATCCAAATATCCACTTGCAGATTCCACAGAAAGACTGTTTCAAAACTGCTCTGTCAATAGAAAGGTTCAACTCTGTTAGCTGCATGCATATATCCCAAAGAAGATTCTGAGATTGCTTCTGTCTAGTTTTTATGGGAAGATATTTCCCTTTTCACCGTAGGTGTCAAGGCGCTCCAAATGTCCACTTCCAGATACTATAAAAAGAGTGTTTCAAACCTACTCTGTGAAAGGGAATATTCAACTCTGTGACTTGAATGCACATATCACAAAGAAGTTTCTGAGAATGCTTCTGTCGAGATTTTCTATGAAGATATTCCCGTTTCCAACGAAATCCTGAAATCTATCCAAATATCCCCTCGCAGATTCTACAAAAAGATTGTTTCAAAACTGCTCTGTAAAAAGAAAGGTTGAACCCTGTTAGTTGAGTACACACATCACAAACAAGTTTCACAGAATGCTTCTTTCTAGCTTGTAGGGGAAGATATTCCCTTTATCACCATGGGCCTCAAAACGTCCGAAACGTCCACTTCCATATACTACAAAAAGAGCGTTTCAAACCTGCTCTAGGAAAACCAATGTTCAACTCTGTGACTTGAATGCAGACATCACAGAGCAGTTTCTGAGAATGCTTCTGTCTAGATTTTATAGGAAGATATTCCCGTTTCCAACGAAATCTTCATAGCTATCCAAATATCCACTTGCAGATTCTACAAAAAGAGTGTATCAAAACTGCTCTGTCAAAAGGAAGGTTCTTCTCTGTTAGTTGAGTACATACTTCATAAAGGAGTTTCTGAGAATGTTTCTGTCTAGTGGTTATGGGAAGATATTTGCTTTTTCACCGTAGGCCTCAGAGCGCTCCAAATATCCACTTGCACATACTACAAAAAGAGTGCTTCAAAGCTGCTCTCTGAAACGGAATGTTCAACTCTATGAGTTGAATGCAAACATCACAAAGACTGTTTCTGAGAATGCTTCTGTCTAGATTTGATATGAAGATATTCCCGTTTCCAACGAAATCTTCAAATCTATCCAAATGTCCACTTGCAGATTCAAAAAAAAGTGTTTTTCAGAACTGCTCTATCAAAAGAAAGATCCACCTCTGTTAGCTGAGTTCAGACATCACAAACAAGTTTATGAGAATGCTTCTGTCTAGTTTTTATTTGAAGGTATTTCCTTTCTCACCCTAGACCTGAAAGCTGTCCTAATGTTCACTTCCAGATACTACAGAAAGAGTGTTTCAAAACTGCTGTACGAAAGGGAATGTTCAACTCTGTGACTTGAATGCACACATCACAAAGAAGTTTCTGAGGATGCTGCTGTCTACTTTTTATGCGTAATCCCGTTTCCAACGAAATCCTCCAAGCTATCCAAATATCCACTTGCAGATTCCACAGAAAGACTGTTTCAAAACTGCTCTGTCAATAGTAAGGTTCAACTCTGTTAGCTGCGTGCATATATCCCAAAGAAGATTCTGAGATTGCTTCTGTCTAGTTTTTATGGGAAGATATTTTCCTTTTCACCATAGGCGTCACAGAGCTCCAAATGTCCACTTCCAGATACTACAAAAAGAGTGTTTCAAACCTACTATGTGAAAGGGAATATTCAACTCTGTTACTTGAATGCAGATATCACAAAGAAGTTTCTGAGAATGCTTCTGTCGAGATTTTATATGAAGATATTCCCGTTTCCAACGAAATCCTGAAATCTATCCAAATATCCCCTCGCAGATTCTACAAAAAGACTGTTTCAAAACTGCTCTGTAAAAAGAAAGGTTCAACTCTGTTAGTTGAGTACACACCTCACAAACAAGTTTCACAGAATGCTTCTTTCTAGCTTGTAGGGGAAGATATTCCCTTTATCACCATGGGCCTCAAACCGTCCGATAAGTCCACTTCCATATACTACAAAAAGAGGGTTTCAAACCTGCTCTATGAAAGGCAATGTTCAACTCTGTGACTTGAATGCAGACATCACAGAGCAGTTTCTGAGAATGCTTCTGTCGAGATTTTATATGAAGATATTCCCGTTTCCAACGAAATCTTCACAGCTATCCCAATATCCACTTGCAGATTCTACAAAAAGAGTGTATCAAAACTGCTCTGTCAAAAGGAAGGTTCTTCTCTGTTAGGTGAGTGCATACGTCATAAAGGAGTTTCTGAGAATGATTCTGTCTAGTGGTTATGGGAAGATATTTGCTTTTTCACCGTAGGCCTCAGAGCACTCCAAATATCCACTTGCACATACTACAAAAAGAGTGCCTCAAAGCTGCTCTCTGAAACGGAATGTTCAACTCTATGAGTTGAATGCAAACATCGCAAAGACGTTTCTGAGAATGCTTCTGTCTAGATTTGATATGACGATATTCCCGTTTCCAACGAAATCTTCAAATCTATCCAAATGTCCACTTGCAGATTCAACAAAACGTGTTTTTCAGAACTGCTCTATCAAAAGAAAGATCCACCTCTGTTAGCTGAGTTCACACATCACAAACAAGTTTATGACAATGCTTCTGTCTAGTTTTTATTTGAAGATATTTCCTTTCTCACCATAGACCTGAAAGCTGTCCTAATGTTCACTTCCAGATACTACAGAAAGAGTGTTTCAAAACTGCTGTACTAAAGGGAATGTTCAACTCTGTGACTTGAATGCACACATCACAAAAAAGTTTCTGAGGATGCTGCTGTCTACTTTTTATACGTAATCCCGTTTCCAACGAAATCCTCCAAGCTATCCAAATATCCACTTGCAGATTCCACAGAAAGACTGTTTCAAAACTGCTATGTCAATAGAAAAGTTCAACTCTGTTAGCTGTGTGCATATATCCCAAAGAAAATTCTGAGATTGCTTCTGTCTAGTTTTTATGGGAAGATATTTCCCTTTTCACCGTAGGCGTCAAGGCGCTCCAAATGTCCACTTCCAGATACTACAAAAAGAGTTTTTCAAACCTACTCTGTGAAAGGGAGTATTCAACTCTGTGACTTGAATACACATATCACAAAGAAGTTTCTGAGAATGCTTCTGTCGAGATTTTATATGAAGATATTCCCGTTTCCAACGAAATCCTCAAATCTATCCAAATATCCCCTCACAGATTCTACAAAAAGAGTGTTTCAAAACTGCTCTGTAAAAAGAAAGGTTCAACTCTGTTAGTTGAGTACACACATCACAAACAAGTTTCACAGAATGCTTCTTTCTAGCTTGCAGGGGAAGATATTCCCTTTATCACCATGGGCCTCAAACCGTCCGAAACGTCTACTTCCATATACTACAAAAAGAGCGTTTCAAACCTGCTCTACGAAAGGCAATGTTCAACTCTGTGACTTGAATGCAGACATCACAGATCAGTTTCTGAGAATGCTTCTGTCTAGATTTTATAGGAAGATATTCCCGTTTCCAACGAAATCTTCACAGCTATCCAAATATCCACTTGCAGATGCTACAAAAAGAGTGTATCAAAAATGCTCTGTCAAAAGGAAGGTTATTCTCTGTTAGGTGAGGGCATACGTCATAAAGGAGTTTCTGAGAATGTTTCTGTCTAGTGGTTATGGGAAGATATTTGCTTTTTCACCGTAGGCCTCAGAGCGCTCCAAATATCCACTTGCACATACTACAAAAAGAGTGCTTCAAAGCTGCTCTCTGAAACGGAATGTTCAACTCTATGAGTTGAATGCAAACATCGCAAAGACGTTTCTGAGAATGCTTCTGTCTAGATTTGATATGAAGATATTCCCGTTTCCAACGAAATCTTCAAATCTATCCAAATGTCCACTTGCAGATTCAACAAAAAGTGTTTTTCAGAACTGCTCTATCGAAAGATCCACCTCTGTTAGCTGAGTTCACACATCACAAACAAGTTTATGAGAATGCTTCTGTCTAGTTTTTATTTGAAGATATTTCCTTTCTCACCATAGGCCTGAAAGCTCTCGAAATGTTCACTTCCAGATACTACAGAAAGAGTGTTTCAAACCTGTTCTACAAAAGGGAATGTTCAACTCTGTGACTTGAATGCACACATCACAAAGAAGTTTCTGAGAATGCTGCTGTCTACTTTTTATACGTAATCCCGTTTCCAACGAAATCCTCCAAGCTATCCAAATATCCACTTGCAGATTCCACAGAAAGACTGTTTCAAAACTGCTCTGTCAGTAGAAAGGTTCAACTCTGTTAGCTGCGTGCATATATCCCAAAGAAGATTCTGAGATTGCTTCTGTCTAGTTTTTATGGGAAGATATTTCCCTTTTCACCGTAGGCGTCAAGGCGCTCCAAATGTCCACTTCCAGATACTACAAAAAGAGTGTTTCAAACCTACACTGCGAAAGGGAATATTCAACTCTGTGACTTGAATGCACATATCACAAAGAAGTTTCTGAGAATGCTTCTGTCGAGATTTTATATGAAGATATTCCCGTTTCCAACGAAATCCTGAAATCTATCCAAATATCCCCTCGCAGATTCTACAAAAAGAGTGTTTCAAAACTCCTCTGTAAAAAGAAAGGTTCAACTCTGTTAGTTGAGTACACACATCACAAACAAGTTTCACAGAATGCTTCTTTCTAGCTTGTAGGGGAAGATATTCCCTTTATCACCATGGGCCTCAAACTGTCCGAAACGTCCACTTACATATACTACAAAAAGAGCGTTTCAAACCTGCTCTATGAAAGGCAATGTTCAACTCTGTGACTTGAATGCAGACATCACAGAGCAGTTTCTGAGAATGCTTCTGTCTAGATTTTATAGGAAGATATTCCCGTTTCCAACGAAATCTTCACAGCTATCCAAATATCCACTTGCAGATTCTACAAAAAGAGTGTATCAAAAATGCTCTGTCAAAAGGAAGGTTCTTCTCGGTTAGGTGAGTGCATACGTCATAAAGGAGTTTCTCAGAATGTTTCTGTCTAGTGGTTATGGGAAGATATTTGCTTTTTCCCCATAGGCCTCAGGGCGCTCCAAATGTCCACATGCACATGCTACAAAAAGAGTGCTTCAAAGCTGCTCTCTCAAAGGGAATGTTCAACTCTATGAGTTGAATGCAAACATCACAAAGACGTTTCTGAGAATGCTTCTGTCTAGATTTCATATGAAGATATTCCCGTTTCCAACGAAATCTTCAAATCTATCCAAATGTCCACTTGCAGATTCAACAAAAAGTGTTTTTCAAAACTGCTGTATCAAAAGAAAGATCCACGTCTGTTAGCTGAGTTCAGACATCACAAACAAGTTTATGAGAATGCTTCTGTCTAGTTTTTATTTGAAGATATTTCCTTTCTCACCATAGACCTGAAAGCTGTCCTAATGTTCACTTCCAGATACTACAGAAAGAATGTTTCAAAACTGCTGTACGAAAGGGAATGTTCAACTCTGTGACTTGAATGCACACATCACAAAGAAGTTTCTGAGGATGCTGCTGTCTACTTTTTATACATAATCCCTTTTCCAACGAAATCCTCCAAGCTATCCAAATATCCACTTGCAGATTCCACAGAAAGACTGTTTCAAAACTGCTCTGTCAATAGAAAGGTTCAACTCTGTTAGCTGCGTGCATATATCCCAAAGAAGATTCGGAGATTGCTTCTGTCTAGTTTTTATGGGAAGATATTTCCCTTTTCACCGTAGGCGTCAAGGCGCTCCAAATGTCCACTTCCAGATACTGCAAAAAGAGTGTTTCAAACCTACTCTGTGAAAGGGAATATTCAACTCTGTGACTGGAATGCAGATATCACAAAGAAGTTTCTGAGAATGCTTCTGTCGAGATTTTATATGAAGATATTCCCGTTTCCAACGAAATCCTGAAATCTATCCAAATATCCCCTCGCAGATTCTACAAAAAGAGTGTTTCAAAACTGCTCTGTGAAAAGAAAGGTACAACTCTGTTAGTTGAGTACACACATCACAAACAAGTTTCACAGAATGCTTCTTTCTAGCTTGTAGGGGAAGATATTCCCTTTATCACCATGGTCCTCAAACCGTCCGAAACGTCCACTGCCATATATTACAAAAAGAGCGTTTCAAACCTGCTCTATGAAAGGCAATGTTCAACTCTGTGACTTGAATGCAGACATCACAGAGCAGTTTCTGAGAATGCTTCTGTCTAGATTTTATAGGAAGATATTCCCATTTCCAACGAAATCTTCACAGCTATCCAAATATCCACTTGCAGATTCTACAAAAAGAGTGTATCAAAACTGCTCTGTCAAAAGGAAGGTTCTTCTCTGTTAGGTGAGTGCATACGTCATAAAGGAGTTTCTGAGAATGTTTCTGTCTAGTGGTTATGGGAAGATATTTGCTTTTTCCCCGTATGCCTCAAAGCGCTCCAAATGTCCACTTGAACATACTACAAAAAGAGTGCTTCAAAGCTGCTCTCTGAAAGGGAATGTTCAACTCTATGAGTTGAATGCAAACATCACAAAGACGTTTCTGAGAATGCTTCTGTCTAGATTTGATATGAAGATATTCCCGTTTCCAACGAAATCTTCAAATCTATCCAAATGTCCACTTGCAGATTCAACAAAGTGTTTTTCAAAACTGCTGTATCAAAAGAAAGATCCACCTGTGTTAGCTGAGTTCACACTTCACAAACAAGTTTATCAGAATTCTTCTGTCTAGTTTTTATTTGAAGATATATCCTTTCTCACTATAGACCTGAAAGCTCTCCTAAAGTTCACTTCCAGATACTACAGAAAGAGTTTTTCAAAACTGCTGTACGAAAGGGAATGTTCAACTCTGTGACTTGAATGCACACGTCACAAGGAAGATTCTGAGGATGCTGCTGTCTACTTTTTATACGTAATCCCGTTTCCAACGAAATCCTCCAATCTATCCAAATATCCACTTGCAGATTCCACAGAAAGACTGTTTCAAAACTGCTCTGTCAATAGAAAGGTTAAACTCTGTTAGCTGCGTGCATATATCACAAAGAAGATTCTGAGATTGCTTCTGTCTAGTTTTTATGGGAAGATATTTCCCTTTTCACCATAGGCGTCAAGGCGCTCCAAATGTCCACTTCCAGATACTAAAAAAAGAGTGTTTCAAACCTACTCTGTGAAAGGGAATATTCAACTCTGTGACTTGAATGCACATATCACAAAGAAGTTTCTGCTAATGCTTCTGTCGAGTATTTTATATGAAGATATTCCCGTTTCCAACGAAATCCTGAAATCTATCCAAATATCCCCTCGCAGATTCTACAAAAAGAGTGTTTCAAAACTGCTCTGTAAAAAGAAAGGTTCAACTCTATTAGTTGAGTACACACATCACAAACAAGTTTCACAGAATGCTTCTTTCTAGCTTGTAGGGGAAGATATTCCCTTTATCACCGTGGGCCTCCAACCGTCCGAAACGTCCACTTCCATATACTACAAAAAGAGCGTTTCAAACCTGCTCTATGAAAGGCAATGTTCAACTTCTGTGACTTGAATGCAGACATCACAGAGCAGTTTCTGAGAATGCTTCTGTCTAGATTTTATAGGAAGATATTCCCGTTTCCAACGAAATCTTCACAGCTATCCAAATATCCACTTGCAGATTCTACAAAAAGAGTGTATCAAAACTGCTCTGTCAAAAGGAAGGTTCTTCTCTGTTAGGTGAGTGCATACGTTTAAAGGAGTTTCTGAGAATGTTTCTGTCTAGTGGTTATGGGAAGATATTTGCTTTTTCACCTTAGGCCTCAGAGCGCTCCAAATATCCACTTGCACATACTACAAAAAGAGTGTTTCAAAGCTGCTCTCTGAAAGGGAATGTTCAACTCTATGAGTTGAATGCAAACATGACAAAGACGTTTCTGAGAATGCTTTCTGTCTAGATTTGATATGAAGATATTCCCATTTCCAACGAAATCTTCAAATCTATTCAAATGTCCACTTGCAGATTCAACAAAAAGTGTTTTTCGAAACTGCTGTTTCGAAAGAAAGATCCACCTCTGTTAGCTGAGTTCACACTTCACAAACAAGTTTATCAGAATACTTCTGTCTAGTTTTTATTTGAAGATATATCCTTTCTCACCATAGACCTGAAAGCTCTCCTAATGCTCACTTCCAGATACTACAGAAAGAGTGTTTCAAAACTGCTGTACGAAAGGGAATGTTCAACTCTGTGACTTGAATGCACACATCACAAAGAAGTTTCTGAGGATGCTGCTGTCTACTTTTTATACGTAATCCCGTTTCCAACGAAATCCTCTAATCTATCCAAATATCCACTTGCAGATTCCACAGAAAGACTGTTTCAAAACTGCTCTGTCAATAGAAAGGTTCAACTCTGTTAGCTGCGTGCATATATCCCAAAGAAGATTCTGAGATTGCTTCTGTCTAGTTTTTATGGGAAGATATTTCCCTTTTCACCGTAGGCGTCAAGGTGCTCCAAATGTCCCCTTCCAGATACTACAAAAAGAGTGTTTCAAACCTACTCTGTGAAAGGGAATATTCAACTCTGTGACTTGAATATACATATCACAAAGACGTTTCTGAGAATGCTTCTGTCGAGATTTTATATGAAGATATTCCCGTTTCCAACGAAATCCTGAAATCTATCCAAATATCCCCTCGCAGATTCTACAAAAAGAGTGTTTCAAAACTGCTCTGTGAAAAGAAAGGTTCAACTCTGTTAGTTGAGTACACACATAACAAACAAGTTTCACAGAATGCTTCTTTCTAGCTTGTAGGGGAAGATATTCCCTTTATCACCATGGGCCTCAAACCGTCCGAAACGTCCACTTCCATATACTACAAAAAGAGTGTTTCAAACCTGCTCTATGAAAGGCAATGTTCAACTCTGTGAGTTGAATGCAGACATCACAGAGCAGTTTCTGAGAATGCTTCTGTCTAGATTTTATAGGAAGATATTCCCGTTTCCAACGAAATCTTCACAGCTATCCAAATATCCACTTGCAGATTCTACAAAAAGAGTGTATCAAAACTGCACTGTCAAAAGGAAGGTTCTTCTCTGTTAGGTGAGTGCATACGTCATAAAGGAGTTTCTGAGAATGTTTCTGTCTAGTGGTTATGGGAAGATATTTGCTTTTTCACCGTAGGCCTCAGAGCACTCCAAATATCCCCTTGCACATACTACAAAAAGAGTGCTTCAAAGCTGCTCTCTGAAAGGGAATGTTCAACTCTATGAGTTGAATGCAAACATCACAAAGACGTTTCTGGGAATGCTTCTGTCTAGATTTGATATGAAGATATTCCCGTTTCCAACGAAATCTTCAAATCTATCCAAATGTCCACTTGCAGATTCAACAAAAAGTGTTTTTCAGAACTGCTCTATCAAAAGAAAGATCCACCTGTTAGCTGAGTTCAGACATCACAAACAAGTTTATGAGAATGCTTCTGTCTAGTTTTTATTTGAAGATATTTCCTTTCTCACCATAGACCTGAAAGCTGTCATAATGTTCACTTCCAGATACTACAGAAAGAGTGTTTCAAAACTGCTGTACGAAAGGGAATGTTCAACTCTGTGACTTGAATGCACACATCACAAAGAAGTTTCTGAGGATGCTGCTGTCTACTTTTTATACGTAATCCCGTTTCCAACGAAATCCTCCAAGCTATCCAAATATCCACTTGCAGATTCCACAGAAAGACTGTTTCAAAACTGCTCTGTCAATAGAAAGGTTCAACTCTGTTAGCTGCGTGCATATATACCAAAGAAGATTCTGAGATTGCTTCTGTCTACTTTTTATGAGAAGATATTTCCCTTTTCACCGTAGGCGTCAAGGCGCTCCAAATGTCCACTTCCAGATACTACAAAAAGAGTGTTTCAAACCTACTCTGTGAAAGGGAATATTCAACTCTGTGACTTGAATGCACATATCACAAAGAAGTTTCAGAGAATGCTTCTGTCGAGATTTTATATGAAGATATTCCCGTTTCCAACGAAATCCTGAAATCTATCCAAATATCCCCTCGCAGATTCTACGAAAAGAGTGTTTCAAAACTGCTCTGTAAAAAGAAAGGTTCAACTCTGTTAGTTGAGTACACACATCACAAACAAGTTTCACAGAATGCTTCTGTCTAGTTTTTATGGGAAGATATTTCCCTTTTCACCGTAGGCGTCAAGGCGCTCCAAATGTCCACTTCCAGATACTACAAAAAGAGTGTTTCAAACCTACTCTGTGAAAGGGAATATTCAACTCTGTGACTTGAATGCAGACATCACAGAGCAGTTTCTGAGAATGCTTCTGTCTAGATTTTATAGGAAGATATTCCCGTTTCCAACGAAATCTTCACAGCTATCCAAATATGCACTTGCAGATTCTACAAAAAGAGTGTATCAAAACTGCTCAGTCAAAAAGAAGGTTCTTCTCTGTTAGTTGAGTACATACGTCATAAAGGAGTTTCTGAGAATGTTTCTGTCTAGTGGTTATGGGAAGATATTTGCTTTTTCACCGTAGGCCTCAGAGTTCTCCAAATATCCACTTGCACATACTACAAAAAGAGTGCTTCAAAGCTGCTCTCTGAAAGGGAATGTTCAACTCTATGAGTTGAATGCAAACATCACAAAGACGTTTCTGAGAATGCTTCTGTCTAGATTTGATATGAAGATATTCCCGTTTCCAACGAAATCTTCAAATCTATCCAAATGTCCACTTGCAGATTCAACAAAGTGTTTTTCAGAACTGCTCTATCAAAAGAAAGATCCACCTCTGTTAGCTGAGTTCACACTTCACAAACAAGTTTATCAGAATGCTTCTGTCTAGTTTTTATTTGAAGATATTTCCTTTCTCACCATAGACCTGAAAGCTGTCCTAATGTTCACTTCCAGATACTACAGAAAGAGTGTTTCAACACTGCTGTACGAAAGGGAATGTTCAACTCTGTGACTTGAATGCACACATCACAAAGAAGTTTCTGAGGATGCTGCTGTCTACTTTTTATACGTAATCCCGTTTCCAACGAAATCCTCCAAGCTATCCAAATATCCACTTGCAGATTCCACAGAAAGACTGTTTCAAAACTGCTCTGTCAATAGAAAGGTTCAACTCTGTTAGCTGGGTGCATATATCACAAAGAAGATTCTGAGATTGCTTCTGTCTAGTTTTTATGGGAAGATATTTCCCTTTTCACCGTAGGCGTCAAGGCGCTCCAAATGTCCACTTCCAGATACTACAAAAGGAGTGTTTCAAACCTACTCTGTGAAAGGGAATATTCAACTCTGTGACTTGAATGCACATATCACAAAGAAGTTTCTGAGAATGCTTCTGTCGAGATTTTATATGAAGATATTCCCGTTTCCAACGAAATCCTGAAATCTATCCAAATATCCCCTCGCAGATTCTACAGAAAGAGTGTTTCAAAACTGCTCTGTAAAAAGAAAGGTTGAACTCTGTTAGTTGAGTACACACATCACAAACAAGTTTCACAGAATGCTTCTTTCTAGCTTGTAGGGTAAGATATTCCCTTTATCACCATGGGCCTCAAACCGTCCGAAACGTCCACTTCCATATACTACAAAAAGAGCGTTTCAAACCTGCTCTAGGAAAGGCAATGTTCAACTCTGTGACTTGAATGCAGACATCACAGAGCAGTTTCTGAGAATGCTTCTGTCTAGATTTTATAGGAAGATATTCCCGTTTCCAACGAAATCTTCACAGCTATCCAAATATCCACTTGCAGATTCTACAAAAAGAGTGTATCAAAACTGCTCTGTCAAAAGGAAGGTTCTTCTCTGTTGGGTGAGTGCATACGTGATAAAGGAGTTTCTGAGAATGTTTCTGTCTAGTGGTTATGGGAAGATATTTGCTTTTTCACCGTAGGCCTCAGAGCGCTCCAAATATCCACTTGCACATACTACAAAAAGAGTGCTTCAAAGCTGCTCTCTGAAACGGAATGTTCAACTGTATGAGTTGAATGCAAACATCCCAAAGACGTTTCTGAGAATGCTTCTGTCTAGATTTGATATGAAGATATTCCCGTTTCCAACGAAATCTTCAAATCTATCCAAATGTCCACTTGCAGATTCATCAAAAAGTGTTTTTCAAAACTGCTGTATCAAAAGAAAGATCCACGTCTGTTAGCTGAGTTCACACATCACAAACAAGTTTATGAGAATGCTTCTGTCTAGTTTTTATTTGAAGATATTTCCTTTCTCACCATAGACCTGAAAGCTGTCCTAATGTTCACTTCCAGATACTACAGAAAGAGTGTTTCAAAACTGCTGTACGAAAGGGAATGTTCAACTCTGTGACTTGAATGCACACATCACAAAGAAGTTTCTGAGGAGGCTGCTGTCTACTTTTTATACGTAATCCCGTTTCCAACGAAATCGTCCAAGCTATCCAAATATCCACTTGCAGATTCCACAGAAAGACTGTTTCAAAACTGCTCTGTCAATAGAAAGGTTCAACTCTGTTAGCTGCGTGCATATATCCCAAAGAAGATTCTGAGATTGCTGCTGTCTACTTTTTATGAGAAGATATTTCCCTTTTCAACGTAGGCGTCAAGGCGCTCCAAATGTCCACTTCCAGATACTACAAAAAGAGTGTTTCAAACCTACTCTGTGAAAGGGAATATTCAACTCTGTGACTTGAATGCACATATCACAAAGAAGCTTCTGAGAATGCTTCTGTCGGGATTTTATATGAAGATATTCCCGTTTCCAACGAAATCCTGAAATGTATCCAAATATCCCCTCGCAGATTCTACAAAAAGAGTGTTTCAAAACTGCTCTGTAAAAAGAAAGGTTCAACTCTGTTAGTTGAGTACACACATCACAAACAAGTTTCACAGAATGCTTCTTTCTAGCTTGTAGGGGAAGATATTCCCTTTATCACCATGGGCCTCAAACCGTCCGAAACGTCCACTTCCATATACTACAAAAAGAGCATTTCAACCCTGCTCTAGGAAAGGCAATGTTCAACTCTGTGACTTGAATGCAGACATCACAGAGCAGTTTCTGAGAATGCTTCTGTCTAGATTTTATAGGAAGATATTCCCGTTTCCAACGAAATCTTCACAGCTATCCAAATATCCACTTGCAGATTCTACAAAAAGAGTGTATCAAAACTGCTCTGTGAAAAGGAAGGTTCTTTTCTGTTAGGTGAGTGCATACGTCACAAAGGAGTTTCTGAGAATGTTTCTGTCTAGTGGTTATGGGAAGATATTTGCTTTTTCACCGTAGGCCTCAGAGGGCTCCAAATATCCACTTGCACATACTACAAAAAGAGTGCCTCAAAGCTGCTCTCTGAAACGGAATGTTCAACTCTATGAGTTGAATGCAAACATCGCAAAGACGTTTCTGAGAATGCTTCTGTCTAGATTTGATATGAAGATATTCCCGTTTCCAACGAAATCTTCTAATCTATCCAAATGTCCACTTGCAGATTCAACAAAAAGTGTTTTTCAGAACTGCTCTATCAAAAGAAAGATCCACCTCTGTTAGCTGAGTTCACACATCACAAACAAGTTTATGAGAATGCTTCTGTCTAGTTTTTATTTGAAGATATTTCCTTTCTCACCATAGACCTGAAAGCTGTCCTAATGTTCACTTCCAGATACTACAGAAAGAGTGTTTCAAAACTGTTGTACGAAAGGGAATGTTCAACTCTGTGACTTGAATGCACACATCACAAAGAAGTTTCTGAGGATGCTGCTGTCTACTTTTTATACGTAATCCCGTTTCCAACGAAATCCTCCAAGCTATCCAAATATCCACTTGCATATTCCACAGAAAGACTGTTTCAGAACTGCTCTGTCAGTAGAAAGGTTCAACTCTGTTAGCTGCGTGCATATATCCCAAAGAAGATTCTGAGATTGCTTCTGTCTAGTTTTTATGGGAAGATATTTGCCTTTTCACCGTAGGTGTCAAGGCGCTCCAAATGTCCACTTCCAGATACTACAAAAAGAGTGTTTCAAACCTACTCTGTGAAAGGGAATATTCAACTCTGTGACTTGAATGCAGATATCACAAAGAAGTTTCTGAGAATGCTTCTGTCGAGATTTTATATGAAGATATTCCCGTTTCCAACGAAATGCTGAAATGTATCCAAATATCCCCTCGCAGATTCTACAAAAAGAGTGTTTCAAAACTGCTCTGTAAAAAGAAAGGTTCAACTCTGTTAGTTGAGTACACACATCACAAACAAGTTTCACAGAATGCTTTCTTTCTAGCTTGTAGGGGAAGATATTCCCTTTATCACCATGGGCCTCAAACCGTCCGAAACGTCCACTTCCATATACTACAAAAAGAGCGTTTCAAACCTGCTCTATGAAAGGCAATGTTCAACTCTGTGAGTTGAATGCAGACATCACAGAGCAGTTTCTGAGAATGCTTCTGTCGAGATTTTATAGGAAGATATTCCCGTTTCCAACGAAATCTTCACAGCTATCCAAATATCCACTTGCAGATTCTACAAAAAGAGTGTATCAAAACTGCTCTGTCAAAAGGAAGGTTCTTTTCTGTTAGGTGAGTGCATACGTCATAAAGGAGTTTCTGAGAATGTTTCTGTCTAGTGGTTATGGGAAGATATTTGCTTTTTCCCCGTAGACCTCAGAGCGCTCCAAATGTCCACTTGCACATGCTACAAAAAGAGTGCTTCAAAGCTGCTCTCTGAAAGGGAATGTTCAACTCTATGAGTTGAATGTAAACATCACAAAGACGTTTCTGAGAATGCTTCTGTCTAGATTTGATATGAAGATATTCCCGTTTCCAACGAAATCTTCAAATCTATCCAAATGTCCACTTGCAGATTCAACAAAAAGTGTTTTTCAAAACTGCTGTATCAAAAGAAAGATCCACGTCTGTTAGCTGAGTTCACACATCACAAACAAGTTTAGGAGAATGCTTCTGTCTAGTTTTTATTTGAAGATATTTCCTTTCTCACTATAGACCTGAAAGCTCTCCTAAAGTTCACTTCCAGATACTACAGAAAGAGTGTTTCAAAACTGCTGTACGAAAGGGAATGTTCAATTCTGTGACTTGAATGCACACATCACAAAGAAGTTTCTGAGGATGCTGCTGTGTACTTTTTATACGTAATCCCGTTTCCAACGAAATCCTCCAAGCTATCCAAATATCCACTTGCAGATTCCACAGAAAGACTGTTTCAAAACTGCTCTGTCAATAGAAAGGTTCAACTCTGTTAGCTGCGTGCATATATCCCAAAGAAGATTCTGAGATTGCTTGTGTCTACTTTTTATGAGAAGATATTTCCCTTTTCACCGTAGGCGTCAAGGCGCTCCAAATGTCCACTTCCAGATACTACAAAAAGAGTGTTTCAAACCTACTCTGTGAAAGGGAATATTCAACTCTGTGACTTGAATGCACATATCACAAAGAAGCTTCTGAGAATGCTTCTGTCGAGATTTTCTATGAAGATATTCCCGTTTCCAACGAAATCCTGAAATCTATCCAAATATCCCCTCGCAGATTCTACAAAAAGAGTGTTTCAAAACTGCTCTGTAAAAAGAAAGGTTCAACTCTATTAGTTGAGTACACACATCACAAACAAGTTTCACAGAATGCTTTCTTTCTAGCTTGTAGGGGAAGATATTCCCTTTATCACCATGGGCCTCAAACCGTCCGAAACGTCCACTTCCATATACTACAAAAAGAGCGTTTCAAACCTGCTCTAGGAAAGGCAATGTTCAACTCTGTGACTTGAATGCAGACATCACAGAGCAGTTTCTGAGAATGCTTCTGTCTAGATTTTATAGGAATGTATTCCCGTTTCCAACGAAATCTTCACAGCTATCCAAATATCCACTTGCAGATTCTACAAAAAGAGTGTATCAAAACTGCTCTGTCAAAAGGAAGGTTCTTCTCTGTTAGTTGAGTACATACGTCATAAAGGAGTTTCTGAGAATGTTTCTGTCTAGTGGTTATGGGAAGATATTTGCTTTTTCACCGTAGGCCTCAGAGCGCTCCAAATATCCACTTGCACATAGTACAAAAAGAGTGCCTCAAAGCTGCTCTCTGAAACGGAATGTTCAACTCTATGAGTTGAATGCAAACATCACAAAGACGTTTCTGAGAATGCTTCCGTCTAGATTTGATATGAAGATATTCCCGTTTCCAACGAAATCTTGAAATCTATCCAAATGTCCACTTGCAGATTCAACAAAAAGTGTTTTTCAGAACTGCTCTATCAAAAGAAAGATCCACCTCTGTTAGCTGAGTTCACACATCACAAACAAGTTTATGAGAATGCTTCTGTCTAGTTTTTATTTGAAGATATTTCCTTTCTCACCATAGACCTGAAAGCTGTCGTAATGTTCACTTCCAGATACTACAGAAAGAGTGTTTCAAAACTGCTGTACGAAAGGGAATGTTCAACTCTGTGACTTGAATGCACACATCACAAAGAAGTTTCTGAGGATGCTGCTGTCTACTTTTTATACGTAATCCCGTTTCCAACGAAATCCTCCAAGCTATCCAAATATCCACTTGCAGATTCCACAGAAAGACTGTTTCAAAACTGCTCTGTCAATAGAAAGGTTCAACTCTGTTACCTGCGTGCATATATCCCAAAGAAGATTCTGAGATTGCTTCTGTCTAGTTTTATGGGAAGATATTTCCCTTTTCACCGTAGGTGTCAAGGCGCTCCAAATGTCCACTTCCAGATACTACAAAAAGAGTGTTTCAAACCTACTCTGTGAAAGGGAATATTCAACTCTGTGACTTGAATGCACATATCACAAAGAAGTTTCTGAGAATGCTTCTGTCGAGATTTTATATGAAGATATTCCCGTTTCAAACGAAATCATGAAATCTATCCAAATATCCCCTCGCAGATTCTACAAAAAGAGTGTTTCAAAACTGCTCTGTAAAAAGAAAGGTTCAACTCTGTTAGTTGAGTACACACATCACAAACAAGTTTCACAGAATGCTTCTTTCTAGCTTGTAGGGGAAGATATTCCCTTTATCACCATGGGCCTCAAACCGTCCGAAACGTCCACTTACATATACTACAAAAAGAGCGTTTCAAACCTGCTCTATGAAAGGCAATGTTCAGCTCTGTGACTTGAATGCAGACATCACAGAGCAGTTTCTGAGAATGCTTCTGTCTAGATTTTATAGGAAGATATTCCCGTTTCCAACGAAATCTTCACAGCTATCCAAATATCCACTTGTAGATTCTACAAAAAGAGTGTATCAAAACTGCTCTGTCAAAAGGAAGGTTCTTCTCTGTTAGGTGAGTGCATACGTCATAAAGGAGTTTCTGAGAATGTTTCTGTGTAGTGGTTATGGGAAGATATTTGCTTTTTCACCGTAGGCCTCAGAGCGCTCCAAATATCCACTTGCACATACTACAAAAAGAGTGCTTCAAAGCTGCTCTCTGAAAGGGAATGTTCAACTCTATGAGTTGAATGCAAACATCACAAAGACGTTTCCAAGAATGCTTCTGTCTAGATTTGATATGAAGATATTCCCGTTTCCACCGAAATCTTCAAATCTATCCAAATGTCCACTTGCAGATTCAACAAAAAGTGTTTTTCAGAACTGCTCTATCAAAAGAAAGATCCACCTCTGTTAGCTGAGTTCACACATCACAAACAAGTTTATGAGAATGCTTCTGTCTAGTTTTTATTTGAAGATATTTCCTTTCTCACCATAGACCTGAAAGCTGTCCTAATGTTCACTTCCAGTTACTACAGAAAGAGTGTTTCAAAACTGCTGTACGAAAGGGAATGTTCAACTCTGTGACTTGAATGCACACATCACAAAGAAGGTTCCTGAGGATGCTGCTGTCTACTTTTTATACGTAATCCCGTTTCCAACGAAATCCTCCAAGCTATCCAAATATCCATTTGCAGATTCCACAGAAAGACTGTTTCAAAACTGCTCTGTCAATAGAAAGGTTCAACTCTGTTAGCTGCGTGCATATATCCCAAAGAAGATTCTGAGATTGCTTCTGTCTAGTTTTTATGGGAAGATATTTCCCTTTTCACCGTAGGCGTCAAGGCGCTCCAAATGTCCACTTCCAGATAGTACAAAAAGAGTGTTTCAAACCTACTCTGTGAAAGGGAATATTCATCTCTGTGACTTGAATGCACATATCACAAAGAAGTTTCTGAGAATGCTTCTGTCGAGATTTCTATATGAAGATATTCCCGTTTCCAACGAAATCCTGAAATCTATCCAAATATCCCCTCGCAGATTCTACAAAAAGAGTGTTTCAAAACTGCTCTGTAAAAAGGAAGGTTCAACTCTGTTAGTTGAGTACACACATCACAAACAAGTTTCACAGAATGCTTCTTTCTAGCTTGTAGGGGAAGATACTCCCTTTATCACCATGGGCCTCAAACCGTCCGAAAAGTCCACTTCCATATATTACAAAAAGAGCGTTTCAAACCTGCTCTATGAAAGGCAATGTTCAACTCTGTGACTTGAATGCAGACATCACAGAGCAGTTTCTGAGAATGCTTCTGTCTAGATTTTATAGGAAGGTATTCCCGTTTCCAACGAAATCTTCACAGCTATCCAAATATCCACTTGCAGATTCTACAAAAAGAGTGTATCAAAACTGCTCTGTCAAAAGGAAGGTTCTTCTCTGTTAGTTGAGTACATACGTCATAAAGGAGTTTCTGAGAATGTTTCTGTCTCGTGGTTATGGGAAGATATTTGCTTTTTCACCGTAGGCCTCAGAGCGCTCCAAATATCCACTTGCACATACTACAAAAAGAGTGTTTCAAAGCTGCTCTCTGAAAGGGAATGTTCAACTCTATGAGTTGAATGCAAACATGACAAAGACGTTTCTGAGAATGCTTCTGTCTAGATTTGATATGAAGATATTCCCGTTTCCAACGAAATCTTCAAATCTATCCTAATGTCCACTTGCAGATTCAACAAAAAGTGTTTTTCAGAACTGCTCTATCAAAAGAAAGATCCACCTCTGTTAGCTGAGTTCACACATCACAAACAAGTTTATGAGAATGCTTCTGTCTAGTTTTTATTTGAAGATATTTCCTTTCTCACCATAGACCTGAAAGCTGTCCTAATGTTCACTTCCAGATGCTACAGAAAGAGTGTGTCAAAACTGCTGTACGAAAGGGAATGTTCAACTCTGTGACTTGAATGCACACATCACAAAGAAGTTTCTGAGGATGCTGCTGTCTACTTTTTATACGTAATCCCGTTTCCAACGAAATCCTCCAAGCTATCCAAATATCCACTTGCAGATTCCACAGAACGACTGTTTCAAAACTGCTCTGTCAATAGAAATGTTCAACTCCGTTAGCTGCGTGCATATATCCCAAAGAAGATTCTGAGATTGCTTCTGTCTAGTTTTTATGGGAAGATATTTCCCTTTTCACCGTAGGTGTCAAGGCGCTCCAAATGTCCACTTCCAGATACTACAGAAAGAGTGTTTCAAACCTACTCTGTGAAAGGGAATATTCAACTCTGTGACTTGAAAGCAGATATCACAAAGAAGTTTCTGAGAATGCTTCTGTCGAGATTTTATATGAAGATATTCCCGTTTCCAATGAAATCCTGAAATCTATCCAAATATCCCCTCGCAGATTCTACAAAAAGAGTGTTTCAAAACTGCTCTGTAAAAAGAAAGGTTCAACTCTGTTAGTTGAGTACACACATCACAAACAACTTTCACAGAATGCTTCTTTCTAGCTTGTAGGGGAAGATATTCCCTTTATCACCATGGGCCTCAAACCGTCCGAAACGTCCACTTCCATATACTACAAAAAGAGCGTTTCAAACCTGCTCTATGAAAGGCAATGTTCAACTCTGTGACTTGAATGCAGACATCACAGAGCTGTTTCTGAGAATGCTTCTGTCTAGATTTTATAGGAAGATATTCCCGTTTCCAACGAAATCTTCACAGCTATCCCAATATCCACTTGCAGATTCTACAAAAAGAGTGTATCAAAACTGCTCTGTCGAAAGGAAGGTTCTCCTCTGTTAGGTGAGTGCATACGTCATAAAGGAGTTTCTGAGAATGTTTCTGTCTAGTGGTTATGGGAAGATATTTGCTTTTTCACCGTAGGCCTCAGAGCGCTCCAAATATCCACTTGCACATACTACAAAAAGAGTGCTTCAAAGCTGCTCTCTGAAAGGGAATGTTCAACTCTATGAGTTGAATGGAAACATCACAAAGACGTTTCTGAGAATGCTTCTGTCTAGATTTGATATGAAGATATTCCCGTTTCCAACGAAATCTTCAAATCTATCCAAATGTCCACTTGCAGATTCAACAAAAAGTGTTTTTCAAAACTGCTGTATCAAAAGAAAGATCCACGTCTGTTACCTGAGTTCACACATCACAAACAAGTTTATGAGAATGCTTCTGTCTAGTTTTTATTTGAAGATATATCCTTTCTCACTATAGACCTGAAAGCTGTCCTAAAGTTCACTTCCAGATACTACAGAAAGAGTGTTTGAAAACTGCTGTACGAAAGGGAATGTTCAACTCTGTGACTTGAATGCACACATCACAAGGATGTTTCTGAGGATGCTGCTGTCTACTTTTTATACGTAATCCCGTTTCCAACGTAATCCTCCAAGCTATCCAAATATCCACTTGCAGATTCCACAGAAAGACTGTTACAAAACTGCTCTGTCAATAGAAAGGTTCAACTCTGTTAGCTGCGTGCATATATCCCAAAGAAGATTCTGAGATTGCTTCTGTCTACTTTTTATGAGAAGATATTACCCTTTTCACCGTAGGCGTCAAGGCGCTCCAAATGTCCACTTCCAGATACTACAAAAAGAGTGTTTCAAACCTACTCTGTGAAAGGGAATATTGAACTCTGTGACTTGAATGCACATATCACAAAGAAGCTTCTGAGAATGCTTCTGTCGAGATTTTATATGAAGACATTCCCGTTTCCAACGAAATCCTGAAATCTATCCAAATATCCCCTCGCAGATTCTACAAAAAGAGTGTTTCAAAACTGCTCTGTAAAAAGAAAGGTTCAACTCTGTTAGTTGAGTACACACATCACAAACAAGTTTCACAGAATGCTTCTTTCTAGCTTGTATGGGAAGATATTCCCTTTATCACCATGGGCCTCAAACCGTCCGAAACGTCCACTTCCATATACTACAAAAAGAGTGTTTCAAACCTGCTCTATGAACGGCAATGTTCAACTCTGTGACTTGAATGCAGACATCACAGAGCAGTTTCTGAGAATGCTTCTGTCCAGACTTTATAGGAAGATATTCCCGTTTCCAACGAAATCTTCACAGCTATCCAAATATCCACTTGCAGATAGTACAAAAAGAGTGTATCAGAAATGCTCTGTCAAAAGGAAAGTTCTTCTCTGCTAGTTGAGTACATACGTCATAAAGAAGTTTCTGAGAATGTTCCTGTCTAGTGGTTATGGGAAGATATTTGCTTTTTCCCCGTAGGCCTCAAAGCGGTCCAAATGTCCACTTGCACATACTACAAAAAGAGTGCTTCAAAGCTCCTCTCAGAAAGGGAATGTTCAACTCTATGAGTTGAATGCAAACATCACAAAGGCGTTTCTGAGAATGCTTCTGTCTAGATTTGATATGAAGATATTCCCGTTTCCAACGAAATCTTCAAATCTATCCAAATGTCCACTTGCAGATTCAACAAAAAGTGTTTTTCAGAACTGCTCTATCAAAAGAAAGATCCACGTCTGTTAGCTGAGTACACACATCACAAACAAGTTTATGAGAATGCTTCTGTCTAGTTTTTATTTGAAGATATTTCCTTTCTCACCATAGGCCTGAAAGCTGTCCTAATGTTCACTTCCAGATACTACAGAAAGAGTGTTTCAAAACTGCTGTACGAAAGGGAATGTTCAACTCTGTGACTTGAATGCACACATCACAAAGAAGTTTCTGAGGATGCTGCTGTCTACTTTTGATACGTAATCCCGTTTCCAACGAAATCCTCCAAGCTATCCAAATATCCACTTGCAGATTCCACAGAAAGACTGTTTCAAAACTGCTCTGTCAATAGAAAGGTTCAACTCTGTTAGCTGCGTGCATATATCCCAAAGAAGATTCTGAGATTGCTTTCTGTCTATTTTTTATGGGAAGATATTTCCCTTTTCACCGTAGGCGTCAAGGCGCTCCAAATGTCCACTTCCAGATACTACAAAAAGAGTGTTTCAAACCTACTCTGTGAAAGGGAATATTCAACTCTGTGACTTGAAGGCAGATATCACAAAGAAGTTTCTGAGAATGCTTCTGTCGAGATTTTATATGAAGATATTCCCGTTTCCAACGAAATGCTGAAATGTATCCAAATATCCCCTCGCAGATTCTACAAAAAGAGTGTTTCAAAACTGCTCTGTAAAAAGAAAGGTTCAACTCTGTTAGTTGCGTACACACATCACAAACAAGTTTCACAGAATGCTTCTTTCTAGCTTGTAGGGGAAGATATTCCCTTTATCACCATGGGCCTCAAACCGTCCGAAACGTCCACTTCCATATACTACAAAAAGAGCGTTTCAAACCTGCTCTATGAAAGGCAATGTTCAAATCTGTGACTTGAATGCAGACATCACAGAGCAGTTTCTGAGAATGCTTCTGTCTAGATTTTATAGGAAGATATTCCCGTTTCCAACGAAATCTTCACAGCTATCCAAATATCCACTTGCAGATTCTACAAAAAGAGTGTATCAAATCTGCTCTGTCAAAAGGAAGGTTCTTCTCTGTTAGTTGAGTACATACGTCATAAAGGAGTTTCTGAGAATGTTTCTGTCTAGTGGTTATGGGAAGATATTTGCTTTTTCACCGTAGGCCTCAGAGCGCTCCAAATATCCACTTGCACATACTACAAAAAGAGTGCTTCAAAGCTGCTCTCTGAAACGGAATGTTAAACTCTATGAGTTGAATGCAAACATCACAAAGACGTTTCTGAGAATGCTTCTGTCTAGATTTGATATGAAGATATTCCCATTTCCAACGAAATCTTCAAATCTATCCAAATGTCCACTTGCAGATTCAACAAAAAGTGTTTTTCAGAACTGCTCTATCAAAAGAAAGATCCACCTCTGTTAGCTGAGTTCACACATCACAAACAAGTTTATGAGAATGCTTCTGTCTAGTTTTTATTTGAAGATATTTCCTTTCTCACCATAGACCTGAAAGCTGTGCTAAAGTTCACTTCCAGATACTACAGAAAGAGTGTTTCAAAACTGCTGTACGAAAGGGAATGTTCAACTCTGTGACTTGAATGCACACATCACAAGGATGTTTCTGAGGATGCTGCTGTCTACTTTGTATATGTAATCCCGTTTCCAACGAAATCCTCCAAGCTATCCAAATATCCACTTGCAGATTCCACAGAAAGACTGTTTCAAAACTGCTCTGTCAATAGAAAGGTTCAACTCTGTTAGCTGCGTGCATATATCCCAAAGAAGATTCTGAGATTGCTTCTGTCTAGTTTTTATGGGAAGATATTTCCCTTTTCATCATAGGTGTCAAGGCGCTCCAAATGTCCACTTCCAGATACTACAAAAAGAGTGTTTCAAACCTACTCTGTGAAAGGGAATATTCAACACTGTGACTTGAATGCGCATATCACAAAGAAGTTTCTGAGAATGCTTCTGTCGAGATTTTATATGAAGATATTCCCGTTTCCAACGAAATCCTGAAATCTATCCAAATATCCCCTCGCAGATTCTACAAAAAGAGTGTTTCAAAACTGCTTTGTAAAAAGAAAGGTTCAACTCTGTTAGTTGAGTACACACATCACAAACAAGTTTCACAGAATGCTTCTTTCTAGCTTGTAGGGGAAGATATTCCCTTTATCACCATGGGCCTCAAACCGTCCGAAACGTCTACTTACATATACTACAAAAAGAGCGTTTCAAACCTGCTCTATGAAAGGCAATGTTCAACTCTGTGACTTGAATGCAGACATCACAGAGCAGTTTCTGAGAATGCTTCTGTCTAGATTTTATAGGAAGATATTCCCGTTTCCAACGAAATCTTCACAGCTATCCAAATATCCACTTGCAAATTCTACAAAAAGAGTGTATCAAAACTGCTCTGTCAAAAGGAAGGTTCTTCTCTGTTAGGTGAGTGCACACGTCATAAAGGAGTTTCTGAGAATGTTTCTGTCTAGTGGTTATGGGAAGATATTTGCTTTTTCACCGTAGGCCTCAGAGCGGTCCAAATATCCACTTGCACATACTACAAAAAGAGTGCCTCAAAGCTGCTCTCTGAAACGGAATGTTCAACTCTATGAGTTGAATGCAAACATCACAAAGACGTTTCTGAGAATGCTTCTGTCTAGATTTGATATGAAGATATTCCCGTTTCCAACGAAATCTTCAAATCTATCCAAATGTCCACTTGCGGATTCAACAAAAAGTGTTTTTCAAAACTGCTGTATCAAAAGAAAGATCCACCTCTGTTAGCTGAGTTCACACATCACAAACAAGTTTATGAGAATGCTTCTGTCTAGTTTTTATTTGAAGATATTTCCTTTCTCACCATAGACCTGAAAGCTGTCCTAATGTTCACTTCCAGTTACTACAGAAAGAGTGTTTCAAAACTGCTGTACGAAAGGGAATGTTCAACTCTGTGAGTTGAATGCACACATCACAAAGAAGTTTCTGAGGATGTTGCTGTCTACTTTTTATACGTAATCCCATTTCCAAAGAAATCCTGCAAGCTATCCAAATATCCACTTGCAGATTCCACAGAAAGACTGTTTCAAAACTGCTCTGTCAATAGAAAGGTTCAACTCTGTTAGTTGCGTGCATATATCCCAAAGAAGATTCTGAGATTGCTTCTGTCTAGTTTTTATGGGAAGATATTTCCCTTTTCACCGTAGGTTTCAAGGCGCTCCAAATGTCCACTTCCAGATACTACAAAAAGAGTGTTTCAAACCTACTCTGTGAAAGGGAATATTCAACTCTGTGACTTGAATGCACATATCACAAGGAAGTTTCTGAGAATGCTTCTGTCGAGATTTTATATGAAGATATTCCCGTTTCCAACGAAATCCTGAAATCTATCCAAATATCCCCTCGCAGATTATACAAAAAGAGTGTTTCAAAACTGCTCTGTAAAAAGAAAGGTTCAACTCTGTTAGTTGAGTACACACATCACAAACAAGTTTCACAGAATGCTTCTTTCTAGCTTGTAGGGGAAGATATTCCCTTTATCACCATGGGCCTCCAACCGTCCGAAACGTCCACTTCCATATACTACAAAAAGAGCCTTTCAAACCTGCTCTATGAAAGGCAATGTTCAACTCTGTGACTTGAATGCAGACATCACAGAGCAGTTTCTGAGAATGCTTTTTGTTTAGATTTTATAGGAAGATATTTGCGTTTCCAAGGAATTCTTCACAGATATCCAAATATCCACTTGCAGATTCTCCAAAAAGAGTGTATCAAAACTGCTCTGTCAAAAGGAAGGTTCTTCTCTGTTAGTTGAGTACATACGTCATAAAGAAGTTTCTGAGAATGTTTCTGTCTAGTGGTTATGGGAAGATATTTGCTTTTTCACCGTAGGCCTCAGAGCGCTCCAAATATCCACTTGCACATACTACAAAAAGAGTGCCTCAAAGCTGCTCTCTGAAACGGAATGTTCAACTCTATGATTTGAATGCCAACATCACAAAGACGTTTCTGAGAATGCTTCTGTCTAGACTTGATATGAAGATATTCCCGTTTCCAACGAAATCTTCAAATCTATTCAAATGTCCACTTGCAGATTCAACAAAAAGTGTTTTTCAGAACTGCTCTATCAAAAGAAAGATCCACCTCTGTTAGCTGAGTTCACACATCACAAACAAGTTTATGAGAATGCTTCTGTCTAGTTTTTATTTGAAGATATTTCCTTTCTCACCATAGACCTGAAAGCTGTCTTAATGTTCACTTCCAGATACTACAGAAAGAGTGTTTCAAAACTGCTGTACGAAAGGGAATGTTCAACACTGTGACTTGAATGCACACATCACAAAGAAGTTTCTGAGGATGCTGCTGTCTAATTTTTATACGTAATCCCGTTTCCAACGAAATCCTCCAAGCTATCCAAATATCCACTTGCAGATTCCACAGAAAGACTGTTTCAAAACTGCTCTGTCAATAGAAAGGTTCAACTCTGTTAGCTGCGTGCATATATCACAAAGAAGATTCTGAGATTGCTTCTGTCTAGTTTTTATGGGAAGATATTTCCCTTTTCACCGTAGGCGTCAAGGCTCTCCAAATGTCCACTTCCAGATACTACAAAAAGAGTGTTTCAAACCTACTCTGTGAAAGGGAATATTCAACTCTGTGACTTGAATGCAGATATCACAAAGAAGTTTCTGAGAATGCTTCTGTCGAGATTTTATATGAAGATATTCCCGTTTCCAACGAAATCCTGAAATCAATCCAAATATCCCCTCGCAGATTCTACAAAAAGAGTGTTTCAAAACTGCTCTGTAAAAAGAAAGGTTCAACTCTGTTAGTTGAGTACACACATCACAAACAAGTTTCACAGAATGCTTCTTTCTAGCTTGTAGGGGAAGATATTCCGTTTATCACCATGGGCCTCAAACCGTCCGAAACGTCTACTTCCATATACTACAAAAAGAGCGTTTCAAACCTGCTCTATGAAAAGCAATGTTCAACTCTGTGACTTGAATGCAGACATCACAGAGCAGTTTCTGAGAATGCTTCTGTCAGATTTGATATGAAGATATTCCCGTTTCCAACGAAATCTTCACACCTATCCAAATATCCACTTGCAGATACTACAAAAAGTGTGTATCCAAAGTTCTCTGTCAAAAGGAAAGTTCTTCTCTGCTACTTGAGTACATACGTCATAAATAAGTTTCTGAGAATGTTTCTGTCTAGTGGTTATGGGAAGATATTTGCTTTTTCACCTTAGGCCTCAGAGCGCTCCAAATATCCACTTGCACATACTACAAAAAGAGTGTTTCAAAGCTGCTCTCTGAAACGGAATGTTCAACTCTATGAGTTAAATGCAATCATCACAAAGACGTTTCTGAGAATGCTTCTGTCTAGATTTGATATGAAGATATTCCCGTTTCCAACGAAATCTTCAAATCTATCCAAATGTCCACTTGCAGATTCAACAAAGTGTTTTTCAGAACTGCTCTATCAAAAGAAAGATCCACCTCTGTTAGCTGAGTTCACACTTCAAAAACAAGTTTATCAGAATGCTTCTGTCTAGTTTTTATTTGAAGATATTTCCTTTCTCACCATAGACCTGAAAGCTGTCCTATTGTTCACTTCAGATACTACAGAAAGAGTGTTTCAAAACTGCTGTACGAAAGGGAATGTTCAACTCTGTGACTTGAATGCACACATCACAAAGAAGTTTCTGAGGATGCTGCTGTCTACTTTTTATACGTAATCCCGTTTCAAACGAAATCCTCCAAGCTATCCAAATATCCACTTGCAGATTCCACAGAAAGACTGTTTCAAAACTGCTCTGTCAATAGAAAAGTTCAACTCTGTTAGCTGCGTGCATATATCCCAAAGAAGATTCTGAGATTGCTTCTGTCTAGTTTTTATGGGAAGATATTTCCCTTTTCACCGTGGGCGTCAAGGCGCTCCAAATGTCCACTTCCAGATACTACAAAAAGAGTGTTCCAAACCTACTCTGTGAAAGGGAATATTCAACTCTGTGACTTGAATGCACATATCACAAGGAAGTTTCTGAGAATGCTTCTGTCGAGATTTTGTATGAAGATATTCCCGTTTCCAACGAAATGCTGAAATGTATCCAAATATCCCCTCGCAGATTCTACAAAAAGAGTGTTTCAAAACTGCTCTGTAAAAAGAAAGGTTCAACTCTGTTAGTTGAGTACACACATCACAAACAAGTTTCACAGAATGCTTCTTTCTAGCTTGTAGGGGAAGATATTGCCTTTATCACCATGGGCCTCAAACCGTCCGAAACGTCCACTTCCATATACTACAAAAAGAGCGTTTCAAACCTGCTAAATGAAAGGCAATGTTCAACTCTGTGACTTGAATGCAGACATCACAGAGCAGTTTCTGAGAATGCTTCTGTCTAGATTTTATAGGAAGATATTCCCGTTTCCAACGAAATCTTCACAGCTATCCAAATATGCACTTGCAGATTCTACAAAAAGAGTGTATCAAAACTGCTCTGTCAAAAGGAAGGTTCTTCTCTTTTAGGTGAGTGCATAGGTCATAAAGGAGTTTCTGAGAATGTTTCTGTCTAGTGGTTATGGGAAGATATTTGCTTTTTCCCCGTAGGCCTCAGGGCGCTCCAAATGTCCACTTGCACATGCTACAAAAAGAGTGCTTCAAAGCTACTCACTCAAAGGGAATGTTCAACTCTATGAGTTGAATGCAAACATCGCAAAGACGTTTCTGAGAATGCTTTCTGTCTAGATTTGATATGAAGATATTCCCGTTTCCAACGAAATCTTCAAATCTATCCAAATGTCCACTTGCAGATTCAACAAAAAGTGTTTTTCAGAACTGCTCTATCAAAAGAAAGATCCACCTCTGTTAGCTGAGTTCACACATCACAAACAAGTTTATGAGAATGATTCTGTCTAGTTTTTATTTGAAGATATTTCCTTTCTCACCATAGACCTGAAAGCTGTCCTAATGTTCACTTCCAGATACTACAGAAAGAGTGTTTCAAAGCTGCTGTACGAAAGGAAATGTTCAAATCTGTGACTTGAATGCACACATCACAAAGAAGTTTCTGAGGATGCTGCTGTCTAATTTTTATACGTAATCCCGTTTCCAACGAAATCCTCCAAGCTAACCAAATATCCACTTGCAGATTCCACGGAAAGACTGTTTCAAAACTGCTCTGTCAATAGAAAGGTTCAACTCTGTTAACTGCGTGCATATATCCCAAGGAAGATTCTGAGATTGCTTCTGTCTAGATTTGATATGAAGATATTCCCGTTCCCAACGAAATCTTCAAATCTATCCAAATGTCCACTTGCAGATTCAACAAAAAGTTTTTTTCAGAACTGCTCTATCAAAAGAAAGATCCACCTCGGTTAGCTGAGTTCACACATCACAAAGAAGTTTATGAGAATGCTTCTGTCGAGATTTTATATGAAGATATTCCCGTTTCCAAGGAAATCCTGAAATCTATCCAAATATCCCCTCGCAGATTCTACAAAAAGAGTGTTTCAAAACTGCTCTGTAAAAAGAAAGGTTCAACTCTGTTAGTTGAGTACACACATCACAAACAAGTTTCACAGAATGCTTCTTTCTAGCTTGTAGGGGAAGATATTCCCTTTATCACCATGGGACTCAAACCGTCCGAATCGTCCACTTCCATATACTACAAAAAGACCGTTTCAAACCTGCTCCATGAAAGGCAATGTTCAACTCTGTGACTTGAATGCAGACATCACAGAGCAGTTTCTGAGAATGCTTCTGTCTAGATTTTATAGGAAGATATTCCCGTTTCCAACGAAATCTTCACAGCTATCCAAATATGCACTTGCAGATTCTACAAAAAGAGTGTATCAAAACTGCTCTGTCAAAAGGAAGGTTCTTCTCTGTTAGGTGAGTGCATACGTCATAAAGGAGTTTCTGAGAATGTTTCAGTCTAGTGTTTATGGGAAGATATTTGCTTTTTCCCCGTAGGCCTCAGAGCGCTCCAAATATCCACTTGCACATACTACAAAAAGAGTGCTTCAAAGCTGCTCTCTGAAACGGAATGTTCAACTCTATGAGTTGAATGCAAACATCACAAAGACGTTTCTGAGAATGCTTCTGTCTAGATTTGATATGAAGATATTCCCGTTTCCAAAGAAATCTTCAAATCTATCCAAATGTCCACTTGCAGATTCAAAAAAAAGTGTTTTTCAGAACTGCTCTATCAAAAGAAAGATCCACCTCTGTTAGCTGAGTTCACACATCACAAACAAGTTTATGAGAATGCTTTCTGTCTAGTTTTTATTTGAAGATATTTCCTTTCTCACCATAGACCTGAAAGCTGTCCTAATGTTCACTCCCAGATAATACAGAAAGAGTGTTTCAAAACTGCTGTACGAAAGGGAATGTTCAACTCTGTGACTTGAATGCACACATCACAAAGAAGTTTCTGAGGATGCTGATGTCTACTTTTTATATGTAATCCCGTTTCCAACGAAATCCTCCAATCTATCCAAATATCCACTTGCAGATTCCACAGAAACACTGTTTCAAAACTGCTCTGTCAATAGAAAGGTTAAACTCTGTTAGCTGCGTGCATATATCCCAAAGAAGATTCTGAGATTGCTTCTGTCTAGTTTTTATGGGAAGATATTTCCCTTTTCACCGTAGGCGTCAAGGCGCTCCAAATGTCCACTTCCAGACACTACAAAAAGAGTGTTTCAAACCTACTCTGTGAAAGGGAATATTCAACTCTGTGACTTGAATGCACATATCACAAAGAAGTTTCTGAGAATGCTTCTGTCGAGATTTTATATGAAGATATTCCCGTTTCCAACGAAATGCTGAAATCTATCCAAATATCCCCTCGCAGATTCTACAAAAAGAGTGTTTCAAAACTGCTCTGTGAAAAGAAAGGTTCAACTCTGTTAGTTGAGTACACACATCACAAACAAGTTTCACAGAATGCTTCTTTCTAGCTCGTAGGGGAAGATATTCCCTTTATCACCATGGGCCTCCAACCGTCTGAAACATCCACTTCCATATACTACAAAAAGAGCGTTTCAAACCTGCTCTATGAAAGGCAATGTTCAACTCTGTGACTTGAATGCAGACATCACAGAGCAGTTTCTGAGAATGCTTCTGTCTAGATTTTATAGGAAGATATTCCCGTTTCCAACAAAATCTTCACAGCTATCCAAATATCCACTTGCAGATTCTACAAAAAGAGTGTATCAAACCTGCTCTGTCAAAAGGAAGGTTCTTCTCTGTTAGGTGAGTGCATACGTCATAAAGGAGTTTCTGAGAATGTTTCTGTCTAGTGGTTATGGGAAGATATTTGCTTTTTCACCGTAGGCGTCAGAGCTCTCCAAATATCCACTTGCACATACTACAAAAAGAGTGCTTCAAAGCTGCTCTCTGAAACGGAATGTTCAACTCTATGAGTTGAATGCAAACATCACAAAGACGTTTCTGAGAATGCTTCTGTCTAGATTTGATATGAAGATATTCCCGTTTCCAACGAAATCTTCAAATCTATCCAAATCTCCACTTGCAGATTCAACAAAAAGTGTTTTTCAGAACTGCTCTATCAAAAGAAAGATCCACCTCTGTTAGCTGAGTTCACACATCACAAACAAGTTTATGAGAATGCTTTCTGTCTAGTTTTTATTTGAAGATATTTCCTTTCTCACCATAGACCTGAAAGCTGTCCTAATGTTCACTTCCAGATACTACAGAAAGAGTGTTTCAAAACTGCTGTATGAAAGGGAATGTTCAACTCTGTGACTTGAATGCACACATCACAAGGAAGTTTCTGAGGATGCTGCTGTCTACTTTTTATACGTAATCCCGTTTCCAACGAAATCCTCCAAGCTATCCAAATATCCACTTGCAGATTCCACAGAAAGACTGTTTCAAAACTGCTCTGTCAATAGAAAGGTTCAACTCTATTAGCTGCGTGCATATATCTCAAAGAAGATTCTGAGATTGCTTCTGTCTAGTTTTTATGGGAAGATATTTCACTTTTCACCGTAGGTGTCAAGGCGCTCCAAATGTCCACTTCCAGATACTACAAAAAGAGTGTTTCAAACCTACTCTGTGAAAGGGAATATTCAACTCTGTGACTTGAATGCACATATCACAAAGAAGTTTCTGAGAATGCTTCTGTCGAGATTTTATATGAAGATATTCCCGTTTCCAACGAAATCCTGAAATCTATCCAAATATCCCCTCGCAGATTCTACAAAAAGAGTGTTTCAAAACTGCTCTGTGAAAAGGAAGGTTCAACTCTGTTAGTTGAGTACACACATCACAAACAAGTTTCACGGAATGCTTCTTTCTAGCTTGTAGGGGAAGATATTCCCTTTATAACCATGGGCCTCAAACCGTCCGAAACGTCTACTTCCATATACTACAAAAAGAGCGTTTCAAACCTGCTCTATGAAAGGCAATGTTCAACTCTGTGACTTGAATGCAGACATCACAGAGCAGTTTCTGAGAATGCTTCTGTCTAGATTTTATAGGAAGATATTCCCGTTTCCAACGAAATCTTCACAGCTATCCAAATATCCACTTGCAGATTCTACAAAAAGAGTGTATCAAAACTGCTCTGTCAAAAGGAAGGTTCTTTTCTGTTAGTTGAGTGCATACGTCATAAAGGAGTTTCTGAGAATGTTTCTGTCTAGTGGTTATGGGAAGATATTTGCTTTTTCACCTTAGGCCTCAGAGCGCTCCAAATATCCCCTTGCACATACTATAAAAAGAGTGCTTCAAAGCTGCTCTCTGGAAGGGAATGTTCAACTACTATGAGTTGAATGCAAGCATCACAAAGACGTTTCTGAGAATGCTTCTGTCTAGATTTGATATGAAGATATTCCCGTTTCCAACGAAATCTTCAAATCTATCCAAATGTCCACTTGCAGATTCATCAAAAAGTGTTTTTCAGAACTGCTCTATCAAAAGAAAGATCCACCTCTGTTAGCTGAGTTCACACATCACAAACAAGTTTATGAGAATGCTTCTGTCTAGTTTTTATTTGAAGATATTTCCTTTCTCACCATAGACCTGAAAGCTGTCCTAGTGTTCACTTCCAGTTACTACAGAAAGAGTGTTTCAAAACTGCTGTACGAAAGGGAATGTTCAACTCTGTGACTTGAATGCACACATCACAAAGAAGTTTGCTGAGGATGCTGCTGTCTACTTTTTATACGTAATCCCGATTCCAACGAAATCCTCCAAGCTATCCAAATATCTACTTGCAGATTCCACAGAAAGACTATTTCAAAACTGCTCTGTCAATAGAAAGGTTCAACTCTGTTAGCTGCGTGCATATATCCCAAAGAAGATTCTGAGATTGCTTCTGTCTAGTTTTTATGGGAAGATATTTCCCTTTTCACCGTAGGCGTCAAGGCGCTCCAAATGTCCACTTCCAGATACTACAAAAGGAGTGTTTCAAACCTACTCTCTGAAAGGGAATATTCAACTCTGTGACTTGAATGCACATATCACAAAGAAGTTTCTGAGAATGCTTCTGTCGAGATTTTATATGAAGATATTCCCGTTTCCAACGAAATCCTGAAATCTATCCAAATATCCCCTCGCAGATTCTACAAAAAGAGTGTTTCAAAACTGCTCTGTAAAAAGAAAGGTTCAACTCTGTTAGTTGAGTACACACAGCACAAACAAGTTTCACAGAATGCTTCTTTCTAGCTTGTAGGGGAAGATATTCCCTTTATCACCATGGGCCTCAAACCGTCCGAAACGTCCACTTCCATATACTACAAAAAGAGTGTTTGAAACCTCCTCTATGAAAGGCAATGTTCAACTCTGTGACTTGAATGCAGACATCACAGAGCAGTTTCTGAGAATGCTTCTGTCTAGATTTTATAGGAAGATATTCCCGTTTCCAACGAAATCTTCACAGCTATCCAAATATCCACTTGCAGATTCTACAAAAAGAGTGTATCAAAACTGCTCTGTCAAAAGGAAGGTTCTTCTCTGTTAGATGAGTGCATACGTCATAAAGGAGTTTCTGAGAATGTTTCTGTCTAGTGATTATGGGAAGATATTTGCTTTTTCACCGTAGGCCTCAGAGCGCTCCAAATATCCCCTTGCACATACTACAAAAAGAGTGCTTCAAAGCTGCTCTCTGAAACGGAATGTTCAACTCTATGAGTTGAATGCAAACATCGCAAAGACGTTTCTGAGAATGCTTCTGTCTAGATTTGATATGAAGATATTCCCGTTTCCAACGAAATCTTCAAATCTATCCAAATGTCCACTTGCAGATTCAACAAAAAGTGTTTTTCAGAACTGCACTATCAAAAGAAAGATCCACCTCTGTTAGCTGAGTTCACACATCACAAACAAGTTTATGAGAATGCTTCTGTATAGTTTTTATTTGAAGATATTTCCTTTCTCACCATAGACCTGAAAGCTGTCCTAATGTTCACTTCCAGATACTACAGAAAGAGTGTTTCAAAACTGCTGTACGAAAGGGAATGTTGAACTCTGTGACTTGAATGCACACATCACAAAGAAGTTTCTGAGGATGCTGCTGTCTACTTTTTATACGTAATCCCGTTTCCAACGAAATCCTCCAAGCTATCCAAATATCCACTTGCAGATTCCACAGAAAGACTGTTTCAAAACTGCTCTGTCAATAGAAAGGTTCAACTCTATTAGCTGCGTACATATATCCCAAAGAAGATTGCTGAGATTGCTTCTGTCTAGTTTTTATGGGAAGATATTTCCCTTTTCACCGTAGGTGTCAAGACGCTCCAAATGTCCACTTCCAGATACTACAAAAAGAGTGTTTCAAACCTACTCTGTGAAAGGGAATATTCAACTCTGTGACTTGAATGCAGATATCACAAAGAAGTTTCTGAGAATGCTTCTGTCGAGATTTTATATGAAGATATTCCCGTTTCCAACGAAATCCTGAAATGTATCCAAATATCCCCTTGCAGATTCTACAAAAAGAGTGTTTCAAAACTGCTCTGTAAAAAGAAAGGTTCAACTCTGTTAGTTGAGTACACACATCACAAAGAAGTTTCACACAATGCTTCTTTCTAGCTTGTAGGGGAAGATATTCCCTTTATCACCATGGGCCTCCAACCGTCCGAAACATCCAGTTCCATATTCTACAAAAAGAGCGTTTCAAACCTGCTCTATGAAAGGCAATGTTCAACTCTGTGACTTGAATGCAGACATCACAGAGCAGTTTCTGAGAATGCTTCTGTCTAGATTTTATAGGAAGATATTCCCGTTTCCAACGAAATCTTCACAGCTATCCAAATATCCACTTGCAGATTCTACAAAAAGAGTGTATCAAAGCTGCTCTGTCAAAAGGAAGGTTCTTCTCTGTTAGGTGAGTGCATACGTCATAAAGCAGTTTCTGAGAATGTTTCTGTCTAGTGGTTATGGGAAGATATATGCTTTTTCACCTTAGGCCTCACAGCGATCCAAATATCCACTTGCACATACTACAAAAAGAGTGCTTCAAAGCTGCTCTCTGAAACGGAATGTTCAACTCTATGAGTTGAATGCAAACATCACAAAGACGTTTCTGAGAATGCTTCTGTCTAGATTTGATATGAAGATATTCCCGTTTCCAACGAAATCTTCAAATCTATCCAAATGTCCACTTGCAGATTCAACTAAAAGTGTTTTTCAGAACTGCTCTATCAAAAGAAGTATCCACCTCTGTTAGCTGAGTTCACACATCACAAACAAGTTTATGAGAATGCTTCTGTCTAGTTTTTATTTGAAGATATTTCCTTTCTCACCATAGACCTGAAAGCTGTCCTAATGCTTATCCTAATGCTTACTTCCAGATACTACAGAAAGAGTGTTTCAAAACTGCTGTACGAAACGGGATGTTCAACTCTGTGACTTGAATGCACACATCACAAAGAAGTTTCTGAGGATGGTGCTGTCTACTTTTTATACGTAATCCCGTTTCCAAAGAAATCCTCCAAGCTATCCAAATATCCACTTGCAGATTCCACAGAAAGACTGTTTCAAAACTGCTCTGTCAATAGAAAGGTTCAACTCTGTTAGCTGCGTGCATATATCCCAAAGAAGATTCTGAGATTGCTTCTGTCTAGTTTTTATGGGAAGATATTTCCCTTTTCACCGTAGGCGTCAAGGCGCTCCAATGTCCAATTCCAGATACTATAAAAAGAGTGTTTCAAACCTCCTCTGTGAAAGGGAATATTCAACTCTGTGACTGTAATGCAGATATCACAAAGAAGTTTCTGAGAATGCTTCTGTCGAGATTTTATAAGAAGATATTCCCGTTTCCAACGAAATCCTGAAATCTATCCAAATATCCCCTCGCAGATTCTACAAAAAGAGTGTTTCAAAACTGCTCTTTAAAAAGAAAGGTTCAACTCTGTTAGTTGAGTACACACATCACAAACAAGTTTCACAGAATGCTTCTTTCTAGCTTGTAGGGGAAGATATTCCCTTTATCACCATGGGCCTCAAACCGTCCGATAAGTCCACTTCCATATACTAAAAAAAGAGCGTTTCAAACCTGCTCTATGAAAGGCAATGTTCAACTCTGTGACTTGAATGCAGACATCACAGAGCAGTTTCTGAGAATGCTTCTGTCTAGATTTTATAGGAAGATATTCCCGTTTCCAACGAAATCTTCACAGCTATCCAAATATCCACTTGCAGATTCTACAAAAAGAGTGTATCAAAACTCCTCTGTCAAAAGGAAGGTTCTTCTCTGTTAGGTGAGTGCATACGTCATAAAGGAGTTTCTGAGAATGTTTCTGTCTAGTGGTTATGGGAAGATATTTGCTTTTTCACCGTAGGCCTCAGAGCGCTCCAAATGTCCACTTGCACATACTACAAAAAGAGTGCTTCAAAGCTGCTCTCTGAAAGGGAATGTTCAACTCTATGAGTTGAATGCAAACATCACAAAGACGTTTCTGAGAATGCTTCTGTCTAGTATTTGATATGAAGATATTCCCGTTTCCAACGAAATCTTCAAATCTATCCAAATGTCCACTTGCAGATTCAACAAAAAGTGTTTTTCAGAACTGCTCTATCAAAAGAAAGATCCACCTCTGTTAGCTGAGTTCACACTTCACAAACAAGTTTATCAGAATGCTTCTGTCTAGTTTTTATTTGAAGATATTTCCTTTCTCACCATAGACCTGAAAGCTGTCCTAATGTTCACTTCCAGATACTACAGAAAGAGTGTTTCAAAACTGCTGTACGAAAGGGAATGTTCAACTACTGTGACTTGAATGCACACATCACAAAGAAGTTTGCTGAGGATGCTGCTGTCTACTTTTTATACGTAATCCCGTTACCAACGAAATCCTCCAAGCTATCCAAATATCCACTTGCAGATTCCACAGAAAGACTGTTTCAAAACTGCTCTGTCAATAGAAAGGTTCAACTCTGTTAGCTGCGTGCATATATCCCAAAGAAGATTCTGAGATTGCTTCTGTCTAGTTTTTATCGGAAGATATTTCCCTTTTCACCATAGGTGTCAAGGTGCTCCAAATGTCCACTTCCAGATACTACAAAAAGAGTGTTTCAAACCTACTCTGTGAAAGGGAATATTCAACTCTGTGACTTGAATGCAGATATCACAAAGAAGTTTCTGAGAATGCTTCTGTCGAGATTTTATATGAAGATATTCCCGTTTCCATCGAAATCCTGAAATCTATCCAAATATCCCCTCGCAGATTCTACAAAAAGAGTGTTTCAAAACTGCTCTGTAAAAAGAAAGGTTCAACTCTGTTAGTTGAGTACACACATCACAAACAAGTTTCACAGAATGCTTCTTTCTAGCTTGTAGGGGAAGATATTCCCTTTATCACCATGGGCCTCAAACCGTCCGAAACGTCTACTTACATATACTACAAAAAGAGCGTTTCAAACCTGCTCTATGAAAGGCAATGTTCAACTCTGTGACTTGAATGCAGACATCACAGAGCAGTTTGCTGAGAATGCTTCTGTCTAGATTTTATAGGAAGATATTCCCGTTTCCAACGAAATCTTCCCAGCTATCCAAATATCCACTTGCAGATTCTACAAAAAGAGTGTATCAAAACTGCTCTGTCAAAAGGAAGGTTCTTCTCTGTTAGGTGAGTGCATACGTCATAAAGGAGTTTCTGAGAATGTTTCTGTCTAGTGGTTATGGGAAGATATTTGCTTTTTCACCGTAGGCCTCAGAGCGCTCCAAATATCCACTTGCACATACTACAAAAAGAGTGCCTCAAAGCTGCTCTTTGAAACGGAATGTTCAACTCTATGAGTTGAATGCAAACATCACAAAGACGTTTCTGAGAATGCTTTCTGTCTAGATTTGATATGAAGATATTCCCGTTTCCAACGAAATCTTCATATCTATCCAAATGTCCACTTGCAGATTCAACAAAAAGTGTTTTTCAAAACTGCTCTATCAAAAGAAAGATCCACCTCTGTTAGCTGAGTTCACACATCACAAACAAGTTTATGAGAATGCTTCTGTCTAGTTTTTATTTGAAGATATTTCCTTTCTCACCATAGACCTGAAAGCTGGCCTAATGTTCACTTCCAGATACTACAGAAAGAGTGTTTCAAAACTGCTGTACGAAAGGGAATGTTCAACTCTGTGACTTGAATGCACACATCACAAAGAAGTTTCTGAGGATGCTGCTGTCTATTTTTATACGTAATCCCGTTTCCAACGAAATCCTCCAATTTAACCAAATATCCACTTGCAGATTCCACAGAAAGACTGTTTCAAAACTGCTCTGTCAATAGAAAGGTTCAACTCTGTTAGCTGCGTGCATATGTCCCAAAGAAGATTCTGAGATTTCTTCTGTCTACTTTTTATGAGAAGATATTTCCCTTTTCACCGTAGGCGTCAAGGCGCTCCAAATGTCTACTTCCAGATACTACAAAAAGAGTGTTTCAAACCTACTCAGTGAAAGGGAATATTCAACTCTGTGACTTGAATGCAGATATCACAAAGAAGGTTCTGAGAATGCTTCTGTCGAGATTTTATATGAAGATATTCCCGTTTCCAACAAAATCCTGAAATCTATCCAAATATCCCCTCACAGATTCTACAAAAAGAGTGTTTCAAAACTGCTCTGTAAAAAGAAAGGTTCAACTCTGTTAGTTGAGTACACACATCACAAACAAGTTTCACAGAATGCTTCTTTCTAGCTTGTAGGGGAAGATATTCCCTTTATCACCATGGGCCTCAAACCGTCCGATAAGTCCACTTCCATATACTACAAAAAGAGCGTTTCAAACCTGCTGTATGAAAGGCAATGTTCAACTCTGTGACTTGAATGCAGACATCACAGAGCAGTTTCTGAGAATGCTTCTGTCTAGATTTTATAGGAAGATATTCCCGTTTCCAACGAAATCTTCACAGCTATCCAAATATCCACTTGCAGATTCTACAAAAAGAGTGTATCAAAACTACTCTGTCAAAAGGAAGGTTCTTTTCTGTTAGGTGAGTGCATACGTCATAAAGGAGTTTCTGAGAATGTTTCTGTCTAGTGGTTATGGGAAGATATTTGCTTTTTCACCTTAGGCCTCAGAGCGATCCAAATATCCACTTGCACATACTACAAAAAGAGTGCTTCAAAGCTGCTCTCTGAAAGTGAATGTTCAACTCCTTGAGTTGAATGCAAACATCACAAAGACGTTTCCGAGAATGCTTCTGTCTAGATTTGATATGAAGATATTCCCGTTTCCAACGAAATCTTCAAATCTATCCAAATGTCCACTTGCAGATTCAACAAAAAGTGTTTTTCAGAACTGCTCTATCAAAAGAAAGATCCACCTCTCTTAGCTGAGTTGACACATCACAAACAAGTTTATGAGAATGCTTCTGTCTAGTTTTCATTTGATGATATTTCCTTTCTCACCATAGACCTGAAAGCTGTCCTAATGTTCACTTCCAGATACTACAGAAAGAGTGTTTCAAAACTGCTGTACGAAAGGGAATGTTCAACTCTGTGACTTGAATGCACACATCACAAAGAAGTTTCTGAGGATGCTGCAGTCTACTTTTTATACGTAATCCCGTTTCCAAAGAAAACCTCCAAGCTATCCAAATATCCACTTGCAGATTCCACAGAAAGACTGTTTCAAAACTGCTCTGTCAATAGAAAGGTTCAACTCTGTTAGCTGCGTGCATATATCCCAAAGAAGATTCTGAGATTGCTTCTGTCTAGTTTTTATGGGAAGATATTTCCCTTTTCACCGTAGGCGTCAAGGCGCTCCAAATGTCCACTTCCAGATACTACAAAAAGAGTGTTCCAATCCTACTCTGTGAAAGGGAATATTCAACTCTGTGACTTGAATGCAGATATCACAAAGAAGTTTCTGAGAATGCTTCTGTCGAGATTTTATATGAAGATATTCCCGTTTCCAACGAAATCCTGAAATCTATCCAAATATCCGCTCGCAGATTCTACAAAAAGAGTGTTTCAAAACTGCTCTGTAAAAAGAAAGGTTCAACTCTGTTAGTTGAGTACACACATCACAAACAAGTTTCACACAATGCTTCTTTCTAGCTTGTAGGGGAAGATATTCCCTTTATCACCATGGGCCTCAAACCGTCCGAAACGTCCACTTCCATATACAACAAAAAGAGCGTTTCAAACCTGCTCTATGAAAGGCAATGTTCAACTCTGTGACTTGAATGCAGACATCACAGAGCAGTTTCTGAGAATGCTTCTGTCTAGATTTTATAGGAAGATATTCCCGTTTCCAACGAAATCTTCACAGCTATCCAAATATCCACTTGCAGATTCTACAAAAAGAGGGTATCAAAACTGCTCTGTCAAAAGGAAGGTTCTTCTCTGTTAGTTGAGTACATACGTCATAAAGGAGTTTCTGAGAATGTTTCTGTCTAGTGGTTATGGGAAGATATTTGCTTTTTCACCTTAGGCCTCAGAGCGCTCAAAATATCCCCTTGCACATACTACAAAAAGAGTGCTTCAAAGCTGCTCTCTGAAACGGAATGTTCAACTCTATGAGTTGAATGCAAACATCACAAAGACGTTTCTGAGAATGCTTCTGTCTAGATTTGATATGAAGATATTCCCGTTTCCAACGGAAATCTTCAAATCTATCCAAATGTCCACTTGCAGATTCAACAAAAAGTGTTTTTCAAAACTGCTGTATCAAAAGAAAGATCCACGTCTGTTAGCTGAGTTCACACATCACAAACAAGTTTATGAGAATGCTTCTGTTTAGTTTTTATTTGAAGATATTTCCTTTCTCACCATCGACCTGAAAGCTGTCCTAATGTTCACTTCCAGATACTACAGAAAGAGTGTTTCAAAACTGCTGTACGAAAGGGAATGTTCAACTCTGTGACTTGAATGCACACATCACAAAGAAGTTTCTGAGGATGCGGCTGTCTACTTTTTATACGTAATCCCGTTTCCAACGAAATCCTCCAACTATCAAAATATCCACTTGCAGATTCCACAGAAAGACTGTTTCAAAACTGCTCGGTCAATAGAAAGGTTCAACTCTGTTAGCTGCGTGCATATATCCCAAAGAAGATTCTGAGATTGCTTCTGTCTAGTTTTTATGGGAAGATATTTCCCTTTTCACCGTAGGTGTCAAGTCGCTCCAAATGTCCACTTCCAGATACTACAAAAAGAGTGTTTCATACCTACTCTGAGAAAGGGAATATTCAACTCTGTGACTTGAAGGCAGATATCACAAAGAAGTTTCTGAGAATGCTTCTGTCGAGATTTTGTATGAAGATATTCCCGTTTCCAACGAAATCCTGAAATCTATCCAAATATCCCCTCGCAGATTCTACAAAAAGAGTGTTTCAAAACTGCTCTGTAAAAAGAAAGGTTCAACTCTGTTACTTGAGTACACACATCACAAACAAGTTTCACAGAATGCTTCTTTCTAGCTTGTAGGGGAAGATATTCCCTTTATCACCATGGGCCTCAAACCGTCCGAAATGTCCACTTCCATATACTACAAAAAGAGCGTTTCAAACCTGCTCTATGAAAGGCAATGTTCAACTCTGTGACTTGAATGCAGACATCACAGAGCAGTTTCTGAGAATGCTTCTGTCTAGATTTTATAGGAAGATATTCCCGTTTCCAACGAAATCTTCACAGCTATCCAAATATCCACTTGCAGATTCTACAAAAAGAGTGTATCAAAATTGCTCTGTCAAAAGGAAGGTTCTTCTCTGTTAGGTGAGTGCATACGTCATAAAGGAGTTTCTGAGAATGTTTCTGTCTAGTGGTTATGGGAAGATATTTGCTTTTTCACCTTAGGCCTCACAGCGATCCAAATATCCATTTGCACATACTACAAAAAGAGTGCTTCAAAGCTGCTCTCTGAAACGGAATGTTCAACTCTATGAGTTGAATGCAAACATCACAAGACGTTTCTGAGGATGCTTCTGTCTAGATTTGATATGAAGATATTCCCGTTTCCAACGAAATCTTGAAATCTATCCAAATGTCCACTTGCAGATTCAACAAAGTGTTTTTCAGAACTGCTCTATCAAAAGAAAGATCCACGTGTGTTAGCTGAGTTCACACATCACAAACAAGTTGATGAGAATTCTTCTGTCTAGTTTTTATTTGAATATATTTCCTTTCTCACCATAGACCTGAAAGCTGTCCTAATGTTCACTTCCAGATACTACAGAAAGAGTGTTTCAAAACTGCTGTACGAAAGGGAATGTTCAACTCTGTGACTTGAATGCACACATCACAGAGAAGTTTCTGAGGAGGCTGCTGTCTACTTTTTATACTTAATCCCGTTTCCAACGAAATCCTCCAAGCTATCCAAATATCCCACTTGCAGATTCCACAGAAAGACTGTTTCAAAACTGCTCTGTCAATAGAAAGGTTCAACTCTGTTAGCTGCGTGCATATATCCCAAAGAAGATTCTGAGATTGCTTCTGTCTAGTTTTTATGGGAAGATATTTCCCTTTTCACCGTAGGCGTCAAGGCGCTCCAAATGTCCACTTCCAGATACTACAAAAAGAGTGTTTCAAACCTACTCGGTGAAAGGGAATATTCAACTCTGTGACTTGAATGCACATATCACAAAGAAGCTTCTGAGAATGCTTCTGTCGAGATTTTATATTAAGATATTCCCGTTTCCAACAAAATCCTGAAATCTATCCAAATATCCCCTCGCAGATTCTACAAGAAGAGTGTTTCAAAACTGCTCTGTAAAAAGAAAGGTTCAACTCTGTTAGTTGAGTACACACATCACAAACAAGTTTCACAGAATGCTTCTTTCTAGCTTGTAGGGGAAGATATTCCCTTTATCACCATGGGCCTCAAACCGTCCGAAACGTCCTCTTCCATATAGTACAAAAAGAGCGTTTCAAAACTGCTCTATGAAAGGCAATGTTCAACTCTGTGACTTGAATGCAGACATCACAGAGCAGTTTCTGAGAATGCTTCTGTTTAGATTTTATAGGAAGATATTCCCGTTTCCAATGAAATCTTCACAGCTATCCAAATATCCACTTGCAGATTCTACAAAAAGAGTGTATCAAAACTGCTCTGTCAAAAGGAAGGTTCTTCTCTGTTAGGTGAGTGCATACGTCATAAAGGAGTTTCTGAGAATGTTTCTGTCTAGTGGTTATGGGAAGATATTTGCTTTTTCACCGTAGGCCTCAGAGCGCTCCAAATATCCACTTGCACATACTACAAAAAGATTGCCTCAAAGCTGCTCTCTGAAACGGAATGTTCAACTCTATGAGTTGAATGCAAACATCGCAAAGACGTTTCTGAGAATGCTTCTGTCTAGATTTGATATGAAGATATTCCCGTTACCAACGAAATATTCAAATCTATCCAAATGTCCACTTGCAGATTCAACAAAAAGTGTTTTTCAGAACTGCTCTATCAAAAGAAAGATCCACCTCTGTTAGCTGAGTTCACACATCACAAACAAGTTTATGAGAATGCTTCTGTCTAGTTTTTATTTGAAGATATTTCCTTTCTCACCATAGACCTGAAAGCTGTCCTAATGTTCACTTCCAGATACTACATAAAGAGTGTTTCAACACTGCTGTACGAAAGGGAATGTTCAACTCTGTGACTTGAATGCACACATCACAAAGAAGTTTCTGAGGATGCTCTGTCTACTTTTTATACTTAATCCCGTTTCCAACGAAATCCTCCAAGCTATCCAAATATCCACTTGCAGATTCCACAGAAAGACTGTTTCAAAACTGCTCTGTCAATAGAAAGGTTCAACTCTGTTAGCTGCGTGCATATATCCCAAAGAAGATTCTGAGATTGCTTTCTGTCTAGTTTTTATGGGAAGATATTTCCCTTTTCACCGTAGGTGTCAAGGCGCTCCAAATGTCCACTTCCAGATACTACAAAAAGAGTGTTTCAAACCTACTCTGTGAAAGGGAATATTCAACTCTGTGACTTGAATGCACATATCACAAAGAAGTTTCTGAGAATGCTTCTGTCGAGATTTTATATAAAGATATTCCCGTTTCCAACGAAATCCTGAAATCTATCCAAATATCCCCTCGCAGATTCTACAAAAAGAGTGTTTCAAAACTGCTCTGTAAAAAGAAAGGTTCAACTCTGTTAGTTGAGTACACACATCACAAACAAGTTTCACAGAATGCTTCTTTCTAGCTTGTAGGGGAAGATATTCCCTTTATGACCATGGGCCTCAAACCGTCCGAAACGTCCACTTTTATATACTACAAAAAGAGCGTTTCAAACCTGCTCTATGAAAGGCAATGTTCAACTCTGTGACTTGAATGCAGACATCACAGAGCAGTTTCTGAGAATGCTTCTGTCTAGATTTTATAGGAAGATATTCCCGTTTCCAACGAAATCTTCACAGCTATCCAAATATCCACTTGGAGATTCTACAAAAAGAGTGTATCAAAACTGCTCTGTCAAAAAGAAGGTTCTTCTCTGTTAGTTGAGTACATACGTCATAAAGGAGTTTCTGAGAATGTTTCTGTCTAGTGGTTATGGGAAGATATTTGCTTTTTCCCCGTAGGCCACAGAGCGCTCCAAATATCCACTTGCACATACTACAAAAAGAGTGCTTCAAAGCTGCTCTCTGAAAGGGAATGTTCAACTCCATGAGTTGAATGCAAACATCACAAAGACGTTTCTGAGAATGTTTCTGTCTAGATTTGATATGAAGATATTCCCGTTTCCAACGAAATCTTCAAATCTATCCAAATGTCCACTTGCAGATTCAACAAAAAGTGTTATTCAGAACTGCTCTATCAAAAGAAAGATCCACCTCTGTTAGCTGAGTTCACACATCACAAACAAGTTTATGAGAATGCTTCTGTCTAGTTTTTATTTGAAGATATTTCCTTTCTCACCATGGAGCTGAAAGCTGTCCTAATGTTCACTTCCAGATACTACAGAAAGAGTGTTTCAAAACTGCTGTACGAAAGGGAATGTTCAACTCTGTGACTTGAATGCACACATCACAAAGAAGTTTCTGAGGATGCTGCTGTCTACTTTTTATACGTAATCCCGTTTCCAACGAAATCCTCCAAGCTATCCAAATATCTACTTGCAGATTCCACAGAAAGACTATTTCAAAACTGCTCTGTCAATAGAAAGGTTCAACTCTGTTAGCTGCGTGCATATATCCCAAAGAAGATTCTGAGATTGCTTCTGTCTAGTTTTTATGGGAAGATATTTCCCTTTTCACCGTAGGCGTCAAGGCGCTCCAAATGTCCACTTCCAGATATTACAAAAAGAGTGTTTCAAACCTACTCTGTGAAAGGGAATATTCAACTCTGTGACTTGAATGCACATATCACAAACAAGTTTCTGAGAATGCTTCTGTCGAGATTTTATATGAAGATATTCCCGTGTCCAACGAAATCCTGAAATCTATCCAAATATCCCCTTGCAGATTCTACAAAAAGAGTGTTTCAAAACTGCTCTGTAAAAAGAAAGGTTCAACTCTGTTAGTTGAGTACACACATCACAAACAAGTTTCACACAATGCTTCTTTCTAGCTTGTAGGGGAAGATATTTCCTTTATCACCATGGGCCTCAAACCGTCCGAAACGTCCACTTCCATATACTAAAAAAAGAGTGTTTGAAACCTGCTCTATGAAAGGCAATGTTCAACTCTGTGACTTGAATGCAGACATCACAGAGCAGTTTCTGAGAATGCTTCTGTCCAGACTTTATAGGAAGATATTCCCGATTCCAAAGAAATCTTCACAGCTATCCAAATATCCACTTGCAGATACTACAAAAAGAGTGTATCAAAAAAGCTCTGTCAAAAGGAAAGTTCTTTTCTGCTAGTTGAGTACATACGTCATAAAGAAGTTTCTGAGAATGTTTCTGTCTAGTGGTTATGGGAAGATATTTGCTTTTTCACCGTAGGCCTCAGAGCGCTCCAAATATCCCCTTGCACATACTACAAAAAGAGTGCTTCAAAGCTGCTCTCTGAAAGGGAATGTTCAAATACTGTGAGTTGAATGCAAACATCACAAAGACGTTTCTGAGAATGCTTTCCTGTCTAGATTTGATATGAAGATATTCCCGTTTCCAACGAAATCTTCAAATCTATCCAAATGTCCACTTGCAGATTCAACAAAAAGTGTTTTTCAGAACTGCTCTATCAAAAGAAAGATCCACCTCTGTTAGCTGAGTTCACACATCACAAACAAGTTTATGAGAATGCTTCTGTCTACTTTTTATTTGAAGATATTTCCTTTCTCACCATAGACCTGAAATCTGTCCTAATGTTCACTTCCAGATACTACAGAAAGAGTGTTTCAAAACTGCTGTACGAAAGGGAATGTTCAACTCTGGGACTTGAATGCATACATCACAAAGAAGTTTCTGAGGATGCTGCTGTCTACTTTTTATACGTAATCCCGTTTCCAAAGAAATCCTCCAAGCTATCCAAATATCCACTTGCAGATTCCACAGAAAGACTGTTTCAAAACTGCTCTGTCAATAGAAAGGTTCAACTCTGTTAGCTGCGTGCATATATCCCAAAGAAGATTCTGAGATTGCTTCTGTCTAGTTTTTATGGGAAGATATTTCCCTTTTCACTTTAGGTGTCAAGGCGCTCCAAATGTCCACTTACAGATACTACAAAAAGAGTGTTTCAAACCTACCCTGTGAAAGGGAATATTCAACTCTGTGACTTGAATGCAGATATCACAATGAAGTTTCTGAGAATGCTTCTGTCGAGATTTTATATGAAGATATTCCCGTTTCCAACGAAATCCTGAAATCTATACAAATATCCCCTCGCAGATTCTACAAAAAGAGTGTTTCAAAACTGCTCTGTAAAAAGAAAGGTTCAACTCTGTTACTTGAGTACACACATCACAAACAAGTTTCACAGAATGCTTCTTTCTAGCTTGTAGGGGAAGATATTCCCTTTATCACCATCGGCCTCAAACCGTCTGAAACGTCCACTTCCATATACTACAAAAAGAACATTTCAAACCTGCTCTATGAAAGGCAATGTTCAACTCTGTGACTTGAATGCAGACATCACAGAGCAGTTTCTGAGAATGCTTCTGTCTAGATTTTATAGGAAGATATTCCCGTTTCCAACGAAATCTTCACAGCTATCCAAATATCCACTTGCAGATTCTACAAAAAGAGTGTATCAAAACTGCTCTGTCAAAAGGAAGGTTCTTTTCCGTTAGGTGAGTGCATACATCATAAAGGAGTTTCTGAGAATGTTTCTGTCTAGTGGTTATGGGAAGATATCTGCTTTTTCCCCGTAGGCCTCAGGGCGCTCCAAATGTCCACTTGCACATGCTACAAAAAGAGTGCTTCAAAGCTGCTCTCTGAAAGGGAATGTTCAACTCTATGAGTTGAATGCAAACATCACAAAGACGTTTCTGAGAATGCTTCTGTCTAGATTTGATATGAATATATTCCCGTTTCCAACGAAATCTTCATATCTATCCAAATGTCCACTTGCAGATTCAACAAAATGTGTTTTTCAAAACTGCTGTATCAAAAGAAAGATCCACGTCTGTTAGCTGAGTTCACACATCACAAACAAGTTTATGAGAATGCTTCTGTCTAGTTTTTATTTGAAGATATTTCCTTTCTCACCATAGACCTGAAAGCTGTCCTAATGTTCACTTCCAGATACTACAGAAACAGTGTTTCAAAACTGCTCTATGAAAGGGAATGTTCAACTCTGTGACTTGAATGCACACATCACAAAGAAGTTTCTGAGGATGCTGCTGTCTACTTTTTGTACGTAATCCCGTTTCCAACGAAATCCTCCAAGCTATCCAAATATCCACTTGCAGATTCCACAGAAAGACTGTTTCAAAACTGCTCTGTCAATAGAAAGGTTCAACTCTGTTAGCTGCGTGCATATATCCCAGAGAAGATTCTGAGATTGCTTCTGTCTAGTTTTTATGGGAAGATATTTCCCTTTTCACCGTAGGTGTCAAGGCGCTCCAAATGTCCACTTCCAGATACTACAAAAAGAGTGTTTCAAACCTACTCTGTGAAAGGGAATATTCAACTCTCTGACTTGAATGCAGATATCACAAAGAAGTTTCTGAGAATGCTTCTGTCGAGTATTTTATATGAAGATATTCCCGTTTCCAAAGAAATCCTGAAATCTATCCAAATATCCCCTCGCAGATTCTACAAAAAGAGTGTTTCAAAACTGCTCTGTAAAAAGAAAGGTTCAACTCTGTTAGTTGAGTACACACATCACAAACAAGTTTCACAGAATGCTTCTTTCTTGCTTCTAGGGGAAGATATTTCCTTTATCACCATGGGCCTCAAACCGTCCGAAACGTCCACTTCCATATAGTAAAAAAAGAGTGTTTTAAACCTGCTCTATGAAAGGCAATGTTCAACTCTGTGACCTGAATGCAGACATCACAGAGCAGTTTCTGAGAATGCTTCTGTCCAGACTTTATAGGAAGATATTCCCGATTCCAACGAAATCTTCACAGCTAATCAAATATCCACATGCAGATACTACAAAAAGAGTGTATCCAAAAAGCTGTGTCAAAAGGAAAGTTCTTCTCTGCTAGTTGAGTACATACGTCATAAAGAAGTTTCTGAGAATGTTTCTGTCTAGTGGTTATGGGAAGATATTTGATTTTTCACCTTAGGCCTCAGAGCGCTCCAAATATCCCCTTGCACATACTACAAAAAGAGTGCTTCAAAGCTGCTCTCTGAAAGGGAATGTTCAACTCTATGGGTTGAATGCAAACATCACAAAGACGTTTCTGAGAATGCTTCTGTCTAGATTTGATATGAAGATATTCCCGTTTCCAACGAAATCTTCAAAACTATCCAAATGTCCACTTGCAGATTCAACAAAAAGTGTTTTTCAGAACTGCTCTATCAAAAGATAGATCCACCTCTGTTAGCTGAGTTCATACATCACAAACAAGTTTATGAGAATGCTTCTGTCTAGTTTTTATTTGAAGATATTTCCTTTCTCACCATAGACCTGAAAGCTGTCCTAATGTTCACTTCCAGATACTACAGAAAGAGTGTTTCAATACTGCTGTACGAAAGGGAATGTTCAACTCTGTGACTTGAATGCACACATCACAAAGAAGTTTCTGAGGATGCTGCTGTCTACTTTTTATACGTAATCCCTTTTCCAACGAAATCCTCCAAGCTATCCAAATATCCACTTGCAGATTCCACAGAAAGACTGTTTCAAAACTGCTCTGTCAATAGAAAGGTTCAACTCTGTTAGCTGCGTGCATATATCCCAAAGAAGATTCTGAGATTGCTTCTGTCTAGTTTTTATGGGAAGATATTTCCCTTTTCACCGTAGGTGTCAAGGCGCTCCAAATGTCCACTTCCAGATACTACAAAAAGAGTGTTTCAAACCTACTGTGTGAAAGGGAATATTCAACTCTGTGACTTGAAGGCAGATATCACAAAGAAGTTTCTGAGAATGCTTCTGTCGAGATTTTATATGAAGATATTCCCGTTTCCAACGAAATCCTGAAATGTATCCAAATATCCCCTCGCAGATTCTACAAAAAGAGTGTTTCAAAACTGCTCTGTAAAAAGAAAGGTTCAACTCTGTTAGTTGAGTACACACATCACAAACAAGTTTCACACAATGCTTCTTTCTAGCTTGTAGGGGATGATATTCCCTTCATCACCATGGGCCTCAAAACGTCCGAAACGTCCACTTCCATATACTACAAAAAGAGCGTTTCAAACCTGCTCTAGTTAAGGCAATGTTCAACTCTGTGACTTGAATGCAGACATCACAGAGCAGTTCCTGAGAATGCTTCTGTCTAGATTTATAGGAAGATATTCCCGTTTCCAACGAAATCTTCACAGCTATCCAAATATCCACTTGCAGATTCTACAAAAAGAGTGTATCAAAACTGCTCTGTCAAAAGGAAGGTTCTTTTCTGTTAGGTGAGTGCATACGTCATAAAGGAGTTTCTGAGAATGTTTCTGTCTAGTGGTTATGGGAAGATATTTGCTTTTTCCCCGTAGGCCTCAAAGCGCTCCAAATATCCACTTGCACATACTACAAAAAGAGTGTTTCAAAGCTGCTCTCTGAAAGGGAATGTTCAACTCTATGAGTTGAATGCAAACATGACAAAGACGTTTCTGACAATGCTTCTGTCTAGATTTGATATGAAGATATTCCCGTTTCCAACGAAATCTTCAAATCTATCCAAATGTCCACTTGCAGATTCAACAAAAAGTGTTTTTCAGAACTGCTCTATCAAAAGAAAGATCCACCTCTGTTAGCTGAGTTCACACATCACAAACAAGTTTATGAGAATGCGTCTGTCTAGTTTTTATTTGAAGATGTTTCCTTTCTCACCATAGACTTGAAAGCTGTCCTAATGTTCACTTCCAGATACTACAGAAAGAGTGTTTCAAAACTGCTGTACGAAAGGGAATGTTCAACTCTGTGACTTGAATGCACACATCACAAAGAAGTTTCTGAGGATGCTGCTGTCTACTTTTTATACATAATCCCGTTTCCAACGAAATCCTCCAAGCTATCCAAATATCCACTTGCAGATTCCACAGAAAGACTGTTTCAAAACTGCTCTGTCAATAGAAAGGTTCAACTCTGTTAGCTGCGTGCATATATCCCAAAGAAGATTCTGAGATTGCTTCTGTCTAGTTTTGATGGGAAGATACTTCCCTTTTCACCGTAGGTGTCAAGGCGCTCCAAATGTCCACTTCCAGATACTACAAAAAGAGTGTTTCAAACCTACTCTGTGAAAGGGAATATTCAACTCTGTGACTTGAATGCACATATCACAAAGAAGTTTCTGAGAATGCTTTCTGTCGAGATTTTATATGAAGATATTCCCGTTTCCAACGAAATCCTGAAATGTATCCAAATATCCCCGCGCAGATTCTACAAAAAGAGTGTTTCAAAACTACTCTGTAAAAAGAAAGGTTCAACTCTGTTAGTTGAGTACACACATCACAAACAAGTTTCACACAATGCTTCTTTCTAGCTTGTAGGGGAAGATATTTCCTTTATCACCATGGGCCTCAAACCGTGTGAAACGTCAACTTCCATATACTACAAAAAGAGCGTTTCAAACCTGCTCTATGAAAGGCAATGTTCAACTCTGTGACTTGAATGCAGACATCACAGAGCAGTTTCTGAGAATGCTTTTCTTTAGATTTTATAGGAAGATATTCCCGTTTCCAACGAATTCTTCACAGCTATCCAAATATCCAGTTGCAGATTCTACAAAAAGAGTGTATCAAAACTGCTCTGTCAAAAGGAAGGTTCTTCTCTGTTAGTTGAGTACATACGTCATAAAGAAGTTTCTGAGAATGTTTCTGTCTAGTGGTTATGGGAAGATATTTGCTTTTTCACCGTAGGCCTCAGAGCGCTCCAAATATCCACTTGCACATACTACAAAAAGAGTGCCTCAAAGCTGCTCTCTGAATCGGAATGTTCAACTCTATGAGTTGAATGCAAACATTACAACGACGTTTCTGAGAATGCTTCTGTCTAGATTTGATATGAAGATATTCCCGTTTCCAACGAAATCTTAAAATCTATCCAAATGTCCACTTGCAGATTCAACAAAAAGTGTTTTTCAGAACTGCTCTATCAAAAGAAAGATCCACCTCTGTAAGCTGAGTTCACACATCACAAACAAGTTTATGAGAATGCTTCTGTCTAGTTTTTATTTGAAGATATTTCCTTTCTCACCACAGACCTGAAAGCTGTCCTAATGTTCACTTGCAGATACTACAGAAAGAGTGTTTCAAAACTGCTGTACGAAAGGGAATGTTCAACTTCTGTGACTTGAATGCACACATCACAAAGAAGTTTCTGAGGATGCTGCTGTCTACTTTTTATACGTAATCCCGTTTCCAACGAAATCCTCCAAGCTATCCAAATATCCACTTGCAGATTCCACAGAAAGACTGTTTCAAAACTGCTCTGGCAATAGAAAGGTTCAACTCTGTTAGCTGCGTGCATATATCCCAAAGAAGATTCTGAGATTGCTTCTGTCTAGTTTTTATGGGAAGATATTTCCCTTTTCACCGTAGGTGTCAAGACGCTCCAAATGTCCACTTCCAGATACTACAAAAAGAGTGTTTCAAACCTACTCTGTGAAAGGGAATATTCAACTCTGTGACTTGAATGCACATATCACAAGGAAGTTTCTGAGAATGCTTCTGTCGAGATTTTATATGAAGATATTCCCGTTTCCAACAAAATCCTGAAATCTATCCAAATATCCCCTCGCAGATTCTACAAAAAGAGTGTTTCAAAACTGCTATGTAAAAAGAAAGGTTCAACTCTGTTAGTTGAGTACACACATCACAAACAAGTTTCACAGAATGCTTCTTTCTAGCTTGTAGGGGAAGATATTCCCTTTATCACCATGGGCCTCAAACCGTCCGAAACGTCCACTTCCATATACTACAAAAAGAGCGTTTCAAACCTGCTCTACGAAAGGCAATGTTCAACTCTGTGACTTGAATGCAGACATCACAGAGCAGTTTCTGAGAATGCTTCTGTCTAGATTTTATAGGAAGATATTCCCGTTTCCAACGAAATCTTCACAGCTATCCAAATATCCACTTGCAGATTCTACAAAAAGAGTGTATCAAAACTGCTCAGTCAAAAGGAAGGTTCTTCTCTGTTAGGTGAGTGCATACGTCATAAAGGAGTTTCTGAGAATGTTTCTGTCTAGTGGTTATGGGAAGATATTTGCTTTTTCACCTTAGGCCTCAGAGCGCTCAAAATATCCCCTTGCACATACTACAGAAAGAGTGCTTCAAAGCTGCTCTCTGAAACGGAATGTTCAACTCTATGGGTTGAATGCAAACATCACAAAGACGTTTCTGAGAATGCTTCTGTCTAGATTTGATATGAAGATATTCCCGTTTCCAACGAAATCTTCAAATCTATCCAAATGTCCACTTGCAGATTCAACAAAAAGTGTTTTTCAAAACTGCTATATCAAAAGAAAGATCCACGTCTGTTAGCTGAGTTCACACATCACAAACAAGTTTATGAGAATGCTTCTGTCTAGTTTTTATGTGAAGATATTTCCTTTCTCACGATAGACCTGAAAGCTGTCCTAATGTTCACTTCCAGATACTACAGAAAGAGTGTTTCAAAACTGCTGTACGAAAGGGAATGTTCAACTCTGTGTCTTGAATGCACACATCACAAGGAAGTTTCTGAGGATGCTGCTAATTTTTATACGTAATCCCGTTACCAACGAAATCCTCCAAGCTATCTAAATATCCACTTGCAGATTCCACAGAAAGACTGTTTGAAAACTGCTCTGTCAATAGAAAGGTTCAACTCTGTTAGCTGCGTGCATATATCCCAAAGAAGATTCTGAGATTGCTTCTGTCTAGTTTTTATGGGAAGATATTTCCCTTTTCACCGTAGGCGTCAAGGCGCTCCAAATGTCCACTTCCAGATAGTACAAAAAGAGTGTTTCAAACTTACTCTATGAAAGGGAATATTCAACTCTGTGACTAGAATGCACATATCACAAAGAAGTTTCTGAGAATGCATCTGTCGAGATTTTATTTGAAGATATTCCCGTTTCCAACGAAATCCTGAAATCTATCCAAATATCCCCTCGCAGATTCTACAAAAAGAGTGTTTCAAAACTGCTCTGTAAAAAGAAAGGTTCAACTCTGTTAGTTGAGTACACACATCACAAACAAGTTTCACAGAATGCTTCTTTCTAGCTTGTAGGGGAAGATATTCCCTTTATCACCATGGGCCTCAAACCGTCCGAAACGTCAACTTCCATATACTACAAAAAGAGCGTTTCAAACCTGCTCTATGAAAGGCAATGTTCAACTCTGTGACTTGAATGCAGACATCACAGAGCAGTTTCTGAGAATGCTTCTGTCTAGATTTTATAGGAAGATATTCCCGTTTCCAACGAAATCTTCACAGCTATCCAAATATCCACTTGCAGATTCTATAAAAAGAGTGTATCAAATCTGCTCTGTCAAAAGGAAGGTTCTTCTCTGTTAGGTGAGTGCATACGTCATAAAGGAGTTTCTGAGAATGTTTCTGTCTAGTGGTTATGCGAAGATATTTGCTTTTTCACCGTAGGCCTCAGAGCGCTCCAAATATCCCCTTGCACATACTACAAAAAGAGTGCTTCAAAGCTGCTCTCTGAAAGGGAATGTTCAACTATATGAGTTGAATGCAAACATCACAAAGACGTTTCTGGGAATGATTCTGTCTAGATTTGATATGAAGATATTCCCGTTTCCAATGAAATCTTCAAATCTATCCGAATGTCCACTTGCAGATTCAACAAAAAGTGTTTTTCAGAACTGCTCTATCAAAAGAAAGATCCACCTCTGTTAGCTGAGTTCACACATCACCAAACAAGTTTATGAGAATGCTTCTGTCTAGTTTTTATTTGAAGATATTTCCTTTCTCACCATAGACCTGAAAGCTGTCCTAATGTTCACTCCCAGATACTACAGAAAGAGTGTTTCAAAACTGCTGTACGAAAGGGAATGTTCAACCCTGTGACTTGAATGCACACATCACAAAGAAGTTTCTGAGGATGCTGCTGTCTACTTTTTATACGTAATCCCGTTTCCAACGAAATCCTCCAATCTATCCAAATATCCACTTGCAGATTCCACAGAAAGACTGTTTCAAAACTGCTCTGTCAATAGAAAGGTTCAACTCTGTTAGCTGCGTGCATATATCCCAAAGAAGATTCTGAGATTGCTTCTGTCTAGTTTTTATGGGAAGATATTTCCCTTTTCACCGTAGGCGTCAAGGCGCTCCAAATGTCCACTTCCAGATACTACTAAAAGAGTGTTTCAAACCTACTCTGTGAAAGGGAATATTCAACTCTGTGACTTGAATGCACATATCACAAAGAATTTTCTGAGAATGCTTCTGTCGAGATTTTATATGAAGATATTCCGGTTTCCAACGAAATCCTGAAATCTATCCAAATATCCCCTCGCAGATTCTACAGAAAGAGTGTTTCAAAACTGCTCTGTAAAAAGAAAGGTTCAACTCTGTTAGTTGAGTACACACATCACAAACAAGTTTCACAGAATGCTTCTTTCTAGCTTGTAGGGGAAGATATTCCCTTTATCACCATGGGCCTCCAACCGTCCGAAACATCCACTTCCATATACTACAAAAAGAGCGTTTCAAACCGGCTCTATGAAAGGCAATGTTCAACTCTGTGACTTGAATGCAGACATCACAGAGCAGTTTCTGAGAATGCTTCTGTCTAGATTTTATAGGAAGATATTCCCGTTTCCAACGAAATCTTCACAGCTATCCAAATATCCACTTGCAGATTCTACAAAAAGAGTGTATCAAAACTGCTCAGTCAAAAGGAAGGTTCTTCTCTGTTAGGTGAGTGCATACGTCATAAAGGGGTTTCTGAGAATGTTTCTGTCTAGTGGTTATGGGAAGATATTTGCTTTTTCACCTTAGGCCTCAGAGCGCTCAAAATATCCCCTTGCACATACTACAAAAAGAGTGCTTCAAAGCTGCTCTCTGAAACGGAATGTTCAACTCTATGGGTTGAATGCAAACATCACAAAGACGTTTCTGAGAATGCTTCTGTCTAGATTTGATATGAAGATATTCCCGTTTCCAACGAAATCTTCAAATCTATCCAAATGTCCACATGCAGACTCAACAAAAAGTGTTTTTCAAAACTGCTGTATCAAAAGAAAGATCCACGTCTGTTAGCTGAGTTCACACATCACAAACAAATTTATGAGAATGCTTCTGTCTAGTTTTTATTTGAAGTTATTTCCTTTCTCACCATAGACCTGAAAGCTGTCCTAATGTTCACTTCCAGATACTACAGAAAGAGTGTTTCAAAACTGCTGTACGAAAGGGAATGTTCAACTCTGTGACTTGAATGCACACATCACAAAGAAGTTTCTGAGGATGCTGCTGTCTACTTTTTATACGTAATCCCGTTTCCACCGAAATCCTCCAAGCTATCCAAATATCCACTTGCAGATTCCACAGAAAGACTGTTTCAAAACTGCTCTGTCAATAGAAAGGTTCAACTCTGTTAGCTGCGTGCATATATCCCAAAGAAGATTCTGAGATTGCTTCTGTCTAGTTTTTATGGGAAGATATTTCCCTTTTCACCGTAGGTGTCAAGGCGCTCCAAATGTCCACTTCCAGATACTACAAAAAGAGTGTTTCAAACCTACTCTGTCAAAGGGAATATTCAACTCTGTGACTTGAATGCAGATATCACAAAGAAGTTTCTGAGAATGCTTCTGTCGAGATTTTATATGAAGATATTCCCGTTTCCAATGAAATCCTGAAATCTATCCAAATATCCCCTCGCAGATTCTACAAAAAGAGTGTTTCAAAACTGCTCTGTAAAAAGAAAGGTTCAACTCTGTTAGTTGAGTACACACATCACAAACAAGTTTCACAGAATGCTTCTTTCTAGCTTGTAGGGGAAGATATTCCCTTTATGACCATGGGCCTCCAACCGTCCGAAACATCCACTTCCATATACTACAAAAAGAGCGTTTCAAACCTGCTCTATGAAAGGCAATGTTCAACTCTGTGACTTGAATGCAGACATCACAGAGCAGTTTCTGAGAATGCTTCTGTCTAGATTTTATAGGAAGATATTCCCGTTTCCAACGAAATCTTCACAGCTATCCAAATATGCACTTGCAGATTCTACAAAAAGAGTGTATCAAAACTGCACTGTCAAAAAGAAGGTTCTTCTCTGTTAGTTGAGTACATACGTCATAAAGGAGTTTCTGAGAATGTTTCTGTCTAGTGGTTATGGGAAGATATTTGCTTTTTCACCGAAGGCCTCAGAGCGCTCCAAATATCCACTTGCACATACTACAAAATGAGTGCCTCAAAGCTGCTCTCTGAAACGGAATGTTCAACTCTATGAGTTGAATGCAAACATCACAAAGACGTTTTCGAGAATGCTTCTGTCTAGATTTGATATATAGATATTCCCGTTTCCAAAGAAATCTTCAAATCTATCCAAATGTCCACTTGCAGATTCAACAAAAAGTGTTTTTCAGAACTGCTCTATCAAAAGAAAGATCCACCTCTGTTAGCTGAGTTCACACATCACAAACAAGTTTATGAGAATGCTTCTGTCTAGTTTTTATTTGAAGATATTTCCTTTCTCACCATAGACCTGAAAGCTGTCCTAATGTTCACTTCCAGATACTACAGAAAGAGTGTTTCAAAACTGCTTTACGAAAGGGAATGTTCAACTCTGTGACTTGAATGCACACATCACAAAGAAGTTTCTGAGGATGCTGCTGTCTACTTTTTATACGTAATCCCATTTCCAACGAAATCCTCCAAGCTATCCAAATATCCACTTGCAGATTCCACAGAAAGACTGTTTCAAAACTGCTCTGTCAATAGAAAGGTTCAACTCTGTTAACTGCGTGCATATATCCCAAAGAAGATTCTGAGATTGCTTCTGTCTAGTTTTTATGGGAAGATATTTCCCTTTTCACCGTGGGCCGTCAAGGCGCTCCAAATGTCCACTTCCAGATACTACAAAAAGAGTGTTTCAAACCTACTCTGTGAAAGGGAATATTCAACTCTGTGACTTGAATGCACATATCACAAGGAAGTTTCTGAGAATGCTTCTGTCGAGATTTTATATGAAGATATTCCCGTTTTCAACGAAATCCTGAAATCTATCCAAATATCCCCTCGCAGATTCTACAAAAAGAGTGTTTCCAAACTGCTCTGTAAAAAGAAAGGTTCAACACTGTTAGTTGAGTACACACATCGCAAGCATGTTTCACAGAATGCTTCTTTCTAGCTTGTAGGGGAAGATATTCCCTAAATCACCATGGGCCTCAAACCGTCCGAAACGTCCACTTCCATATACTACAAAAAGAGTGTTTCAAACCTGCTCTATGAAAGGCAATGTTCAACTCTGTGACTTGAATGCAGACATCACAGAGCAGTTTCTGAGAATGCTTCTGTCTAGATTTTATAGGAAGTTATTCCCGTTTCCAACGAAATCTTCACAGGTATCCAAATATCCACTTGCAGATTCTACAAAAAGAGTGTATCAAAACTGCTCTGTCAAAAGGAAGGTTCTTCTCTGTTAGGTGAGTGCATACGTCATAAAGGAATTTCTGAGAATGTTTCTGTCTAGTGGTTATGGGAAGATATTTGCTTTTTCACCGTAGGCCTCAGAGCGCTCCAAATATCCCCTTGCACATACTACAAAAAGAGTGCTTCAAAGCTGCTCTCTGAAACGGAATGTTCAACTCTATGAGTTGAATGCAAACATCACAAAGACGTTTACTGAGAATGCTTCTGTCTAGTTTTTATTTGAAGATATTTCCTTTCTCACCATAGAGCTGAAAGCTGTCCTAATGTTCACTTCCAGATACTACAGAAAGAGTGTTTCAAAACTGCTGTACAAAAGGGAATGTTCAACTCTGTGACTTGAATGCACACATCACAAAGAAGTTTCTGAGGATGCTGCTGTCTACTTTTTATACGTAATCCCGTTTCCAACGAAATCCTCCAAGCTATCCAAATATCCACTTGCGGATTCCACAGAAAGACTGTTTCAAAACTGCTCTGTCAATAGAAAGGTTCAACTCTGTTAGCTGCGTGCATATATCCCAAAGAAGATTCTGAGATTGCTTCTGTCTAGTTTTTATGGGAAGATATTTCCCTTTTCACGGTAGGTGTCAAGGCGCTCCAAATGTCCACTTCCAGATACTACAAAAAGAGTGTTTCAAACCTACTCTGTGAAAGGGAATATTCAACTCTGTGACTTGAATGCAGATATCACAAAGAAGTTTCTGAGAATGCTTCTGTCGAGATTTTATATGAAGATATTCCCGTTTCCAACGAAATCCTGAAATCTATCCAAATATCCCCTCGCAGATTCTACAAAAAGAGTGTTTCAAAACTGCTCTGTAAAAAGAAAGGTTCAACTCGGTTAGTTGAGTACACACATCACAAACAACTTTCACAGAATGCTTCTTTCTAGCTTGTAGGGGAAGATATTCCCTTTATCACCATGGGCCTCCAACCGTCCGAAACATCCACTTCCATATACTACAAAAAGAGCGTTTCAAACCTGCTCTATGAAAGGTAATGTTCAACTCTGTGACTTGAATGCAGACATCACAGAGCAGTTTCTGAGAATGCTTCTGTCTACATTTTATAGGAAGATATTCCCGTTTCCAACGAAATCTTCACAGGTATCCAAATATCCACTTGCAGATTCTACAAAAAGAGTGTATCAAAACTGCTCTGTCAAAAGGAAGGTTCTTCTCTGTTAGGTGAGTGCATACATCATAAAGGAGTTTCTGAGAATGTTTCTGTCTAGTGGTTATGGGAAGATATTTGCTTTTTCCCCGTAGACCTCAGAGCGCTCCAAATGTCCACTTGCACATGCTACAAAAAGAGTGCTTCAAAGCTGCTCTCTGAAAGGGAATGTTCAACTCTATGAGTTGAATGTAAACATCACAAAGACGTTTCTGAGAATGCTTTCTGTCTAGATTTGATATGAAGATATTCCCGTTTCCAACGAAATCTTCAAATCTATCCAAATGTCCACTTGCAGATTCAACAAAAAGTGTTTTTCAAAACTCCTGTATCAAAAGAAAGATCCACGTCTGTTAGCTGAGTTCACACATCACAAACAAGTTTAGGAGAATGCTTCTGTCTAGTTTTTATTTGAAGATATTTCCTTTCTCACCATAGAGCTGAAAGCTGTCCTAATGTTCACTTCCAGATACTACAGAAAGAGTGTTTCAAAACTGCTGTATGAAAGGGAATGTTCAACTCCTGTGACTTGAATGCACACATCACAAAGAAGTTTCTGAGGATGCTGCTGTCTACTTTTTATACGTAATCCCGTTTCCAACGAAATCCTCCAAGCTATCCAAATATCCACTTGGAGATTCCACAGAAAGACTGTTTCAAAACTGCTCTGTCAATAGAAAGGTTCAACTCTGTTAACTGCGTGCATATATCCCAAAGAAGATTCTGAGATTGCTTCTGTCTAGTTTTTATGGGAAGATATTTCCCTTTTCACCGTGGGCATCAAGGCGCTCCAAATGACCACTTCCAGATACTACAAAAAGAGTGTTTCAAACCTACTCTGTGAAAGGGAATATTCAAATCTCTGACTTGAATGCACATATCACAAAGAAGTTTCTGAGAATGCTTCTGTCGAGATTTTATATGAAGATATTCCTGTTTCCAACGAAATGCTGAAATCTATCCAAATATCCCCTCGCAGATTCTACAAAAAGAGTGTTTCAAAACTGCTCTGTGAAAAGAAAGGTTCAACTCTGTTAGTTGAGTACACACATCACAAACAAGTTTCACAGAATGCTTCTTTCTAGCTTGTAGGGGAAGATATTCCCTTTAACACCATGGGCCTCAAACCGTCTGAAACGTCCACTTCCATATACTAAAAAAGAGCGTTTCAAACCTGCTCTAGGAAAGGCAATGTTCAACTCTGTGACTTGAATGCAGACATCACAGAGCAGTTTCTGAGAATGCTTCTGTATAGATTTTATAGGAAGATATTCCCGTTTCCAACGAAATCTTCACAGCTATCCAAATATCCACTTGCAGATTCTATAAAAAGAGTGTATCAAAACTGCTCTGTCAAAAGGAAGGTTCTTCTCTGTTAGGTGAGTGCATACGTCATAAAGGAGTTTCTGAGAATGTTTCTGTCTAGTGGTTATGGGAAGATATTTGCTTTTTCACCTTAGGCCTCAGAGCACTCCAAATATCCCCTTGCACATACTATAAAAAGAGTGCTTCAAAGCTGCTCTCTGAAACGGAATGTTCAACTCTATGAGTTGAATGCAAACATGACAAAGACGTTTCCGAGAATGCTTCTGTCTAGATTTGATATAAAGATATTCCCGTTTCCAACGAAATCTTCAAATCTATCCAAATGTCCACTTGCAGATTCAACAAAAAGTGTTTTTCCGAACTGCTCTATCAAAAGAAAGATCCACCTCTGTTAGCTGAGTTCACACATCACAAACAAGTTTATGAGAATGCTTTCTGTCTAGTTTTTATTTGAAGATATTTCCTTTCTCACCATAGACCTGAAAGCTGTCCTAATGTTCACTTCCAGATACTACAGAAAGAGTGTTTCAAAACTGCTGTACGAAAGGGAATATTCAACTCTGTGACTTGAATGCACACATCACAAAGAAGTTTCTGAGGATGCTGCTGTCTACTTTTTATACGTAATCCCGTTTCCAACGAAATCCTCCAATCTATCCAAATATCCACTTGCAGATTCCACAGAAAGACTGTTTCAAATCTGCTCAGTCAATAGAATGGTTCAACTCTGTTAGCTGCGTGCATATATCCCAAAGAAGATTCTGAGATTGCTTCTGTCTAGTTTTTATGGGAAGATATTTCCCTTTTCACCGTAGGCGTCAAGGCGCTCCAAATGTCCACTTCCAGATACTAGAAAAAGAGTGTTTCAAACCTTCTCTGTGAAAGGGAACATTCAAATCTGTGACTTGAATGCACATATCACAAAGAAGTTTCTGAGAATGCTTCTGTCTAGATTTTATAGGAAGATATTCCCGTTTCCAACGAAATCCTGAAATCTATCCAAATATCCGCTCGCAGATTCTACAAAAAGAGTGTTTCAAAACTGCTCTGTGAAAAGAAATGTTCAACTCTGTTAGTTGAGTACACACATCACAAACAAGTTTCACAGAATGCTTCTTTCTAGCTTGTAGGGGAAGATATTCCCTTTATCACCATGGGCCTCAAACCGTCCGAAAAGTCCACTTCCATATACTACAAAAAGAGCATTTCAAACCTGCTCTATGAAAGGCAATGTTCAACTCTGTGACTTGAATGCAGACATCACAGAGCAGTTTCTGAGAATGCTTTCTGTCTAGTGGTTATGGGAAGATATTTGCTTTTTCACCGTAGGCCTCAGAGCGCTCCAAATATCCACTTGCACATACTATAAAAAGAGTGCCTCAAAGCTGCTCTCTGAAACGGAATGTTCAACTCTATGAGTTGAATGCAAACATCGCAAAGACGTTTCTGAGAATGCTTCTGTCTAGATTTGATATGAAGATATTCCCGTTTCCAACGAAATCTTCAAATCTATCCAAATGTCCACTTGCAGATTCAACAAAAAGTGGTTTTCAGAACTGCTCTATCAAAAGAAAGATCCACCTCTGTTAGCTGAGTTCACACATCACAAACAAGTTTATGAGAATGCTTCTGTCTAGTTTTTATTTGAAGATATTTCGTTTCTCACCATAGAGCTGAAAGCTGTCCTAATGTTCACTTCCAGATACTACAGAAAGAGTGTTTCAAAACTGCTGTACGAAAGGGAATGTTCAACTCTGTGACTTGAATGCACACATCACAAAGAAGTTTCTGAGGATGCTGCTGTCTACTTTTTATACGTAATCCCGTTTCCAACGAAATCCTCCAAGCTATCCAAATATCCACTTGCAGATTCTACAGAAAGACTGTTTCAAAACTGCTCTGTCAATAGAAAGGTTCAACTCTGTTAGCTGCGTGCATATATCCCAAAGAAGATTCCGAGATTGCTTCTGTCTAGTTTTTATGGGAAGATATTTCCCTTTTCACCGTAGGCGTCAAGGCGCTCCAAATGTCCACTTCCAGATACTACAAAAAGAGTGTTTCAAACCTACTCTGTGAAAGGGAATATTCAACTCTGTGACTTGAATGCACATATGACAAAGAAGTTTCTGAGAATGCTTCTGTCGAGATTTTATATGAAGATATTCCCGTTTCCAAAGAAATCCTGAAATCTATCCAAATATCCCCTCGCAGATTCTACAAAAAGAGTGTTTCAAAACTGCTCTGTAAAAAGAAAGGTTCAACCCTGTTAGTTGAGTACACACATCACAAACAAGTTTCACAGAATGCTTCTTTCTAGCTTGTAGGGGAAGATATTCCCTTTATCACCATGGGCCTCCAACCGTCCGAAACATCCACTTCCATATACTACAAAAAGAGCGTTTCACACCTGCTCTATGAAAGGCAATGTTCAACTCTGTGACTTGAATGCAGACATCTCAGAGCAGTTTCTGAGAATACTTCTGTCTAGATTTTATAGGAAGATATTCCCGTTTCCAACGAAATCTTCACAGCTATCCAAATATCCACTTGCAGATTCTACAAAAAGAGTGTATCAAAAGTGCTCTGTCAAAAGGAAGGTTCTTCTCTGTTAGGTGAGTGCATACGTCATAAAGGAGTTTCTGAGAATGGTTCTGTCTAGTGGTTATGGGAAGATATTTGCTTTTTCACCGTAGGCCTCAGAGCGCTCCAAATATCCACTTGCACATACTACAAAAAGAGTGCTTCAAAGCTGTTCTCTGAAACGGAATGTTCAACTCTATGAGTTGAATGCAAACATCACAAAGACGTTTCTGAGAATGCTTCTGTCTAGATTTGATATGAAGATATTCCCGTTTCCAACGAAATCTTCAAATCTATCCAAATGTCCACTTGCAGATTCAACAAAAAGTGTTTTTCAGAACTGCTCTATCAAAAGAAAGATCCACGTCTCTTAGCTGAGTTCACACATCACAAACAAGTTTATGAGAATGCTTCTGTCTACTTTTTATTTGAAGATATTTCCTTTCTCACCATAGACCTGAAAGCTGTCCTAATGTTCACTTCCAGATACTACAGAAAGAGTGTTTCAATACTGCTGTACGAAAGGGAATGTTCAACTCTGTGACTTGAATGCACACATCACAAAGTAAGTTTCTCAGGATGCTGCTGTCTACTTTTTATACGTAATCCCGTTTCCAACGAAATCCTCCAACTATCCAAATATCCGCTTGCAGATTCCACAGAAAGACTGTTTCAAAACTGCTCTGTCAATAGAAAGGTTCAACTCTGTTAGCTGCGTGCATATATCCCAAAGAAGATTCTGAAATTGCTTCTGTCTAGTTTTTATTGGAAGATATTTCCCTTTTCACCGTAGGCGTCATGGCGCTCCAAATGTCCACTTCCAGATACTACAAAAAGAGTGTTTCAAACCTACTCGGTGAAAGGGAATATTCAACTCTGTGACTTGAATGCAGTTATCACAAAGAAGTTTCTGAGAATGCTTCTGTCGAGATTTTATATGAAGATATTCCCGTTTCCAACGAAATGCTGAAATCTATCCAAATATCCCCTCGCAGATTCTACAGAAAGAGTGTTTCAAAACTGCTCTGTAAAAAGAAAGGTTCAACTCTGTTAGTTGAGTACACACATCACAAACAAGTTTCACAGAATGCTTCTTTCTAGCTTGTAGGGGAAGATATTCCCCAAATCACCATGGGCCTCAAACCGTCCGAAACGTCCACTTCCATATACTACAAAAAGAGTGTTTCAAACCTGCTCTATGAAAGGCAATGTTCAACTCTGTGACTTGAATGCAGACATCACAGAGCAGTTTCTGAGAATGCTTCTGTCTAGATTTTATAGGAAGATATTCCCGTTTCCAACGAAATCTTCACAGGTATCCAAATATCCACTTGCAGATTCTACAAAAAGAGTGTATCAAAACTGCTCTGTCAAAAGGAAGGTTCTTCTCTGTTACGTGAGTGCATACGTCATAAAGGAATTTCTGAGAATGTTCCTGTCTAGTGGTTATGGAGAAGATATTTGCTTTTTCCCCGTAGGCCTCAGAGCGCTCCAAATATCCACTTGCACATACTACAAAAAGAGTGCTTCAAAGCTGCTCTCTGAAAGGGAATGTTCAACTCGCTATGAGTTGAATGCAAACATCACAAAGACGTTTCTGAGAATGCTTCTGTCTAGATTTGATATGAAGATATTCCCGTTTCCAACGAAATCTTCAAATCTATCCAAATGTCCACTTGCAGATTCAACAAAAAGTGTTTTTCAAAACTGCTGTATCAAAAGAAAGATCCACGTCTGTTAGCTGAGTTCACACATCACAAACAAGTTTATGAGAATGCTTCCGTCTAGTTTTTATTTGAAGATATATCCTTTCTCACTATAGACCTGAAAGCTGTCCTAAAGTTCACTTCCAGATACTACAGAAAGAGTGTTTCAAAACTGCTGTACGAAAGGGAATGTTCAACTCTGTGACTTGAATGCACACATCACAAGGATGTTTCTGAGGATGCTGCTGTCTACTTTTTATACGTAATCCCGTTTCCAACGAAATCCTCCAATCTATCCAAATATCCACTTGCAGATTCCACAGAAAGACTGTTTCTAAACTGCTCTGTCAATAGAAAGGTTCAACTCTGTTAGCTGCGTGCATATATCCCAAAGAAGATTCTGAGATTGCTTCTGTCTAGTTTTTATGGGAAGATATTTCCCTTTTCACCGTAGGTGTCAAGGTGCTCCAAATATCCACTTCCAGATACTACAAAAAGAGTGTTTCAAACCTACTCTGTGAAAGGGAATATTCAACTCTGTGACTTGAATGCACATATCACAAAGAAGTTTCTGAGAATGCTTCTGTCGAGATTTTATATGAAGATATTCCCGTTTCCAACGAAATCCTGAAATCTATCCAAATATCCGCTCGCAGATTCTACAAAAAGAGTGTTTCAAAACTGCTCTGTGAAAAGCAAGGTTCAACTCTGTTAGTTGAGTACACACATCACAAACAAGTTTCACAGAATGCTTCTTTCTAGCTTGTAGGGGAAGATATTCCCTTTATCACCATGGGCCTCAAACCGTCGGAAACGTCCACTTCCATATACTACAAAAAGAGCGTTTCAAACCTGCTCTAGGAAAGGCAATGTTCAACTCTGTGACTTGAATGCAGACATCACAGAGCAGTTTCTGAGAATGCTTCTGTCTAGATTTTATAGGAAGATATTCCCGTTTCCAACGAAATCTTCACAGCTATCCAAATATCCACTTGCAGATTCTACAAAAAGAGTGTATCAAAACTGCTCTGTCAAAAGGAAGGCTCTTCTCTGTTAGGTGAGTGCATACGTCATAAAGGAGTTTCTGAGAATGTTTCTGTCTTGTGGTTATGGGAAGATATTTGCTTTTTCACCGTAGGCCTCAGAGCGCTCCAAATATCCACTTGCACATACTACAAAAAGAGTGCTTCAAAGCTGCTCTCTGAAAGGGAATGTTCAACTCTATGAGTTGAATGCAAACATCACAAAGACGTTTCTGAGAATGCTTCTGTCTAGTATTTGATATGAAGATATTCCCGTTTCCAACGAAATCTTCAAATCTATCCAAATGTCCACTTGCAGATTCAACAAAGTGTTTTTCAGAACTGCTCTATCAAAAGAAAGATCCACCTCTGTTAGCTGAGATCACACTTCACAAACAAGTTTATCAGAATGCTTCTGTCTAGTTTTTATTTGAAGATATTTCCTTTCTCACCATAGACCTGAAGGCTGTCCTAATGTTCACTTCCAGATACTACAGAAAGAGTGTTTCAAAACTGCTGTACGAAAGGGAATGTTCAACTCTGTGACTTGAATGCACACATCACAAAGAAGTTTCTGAGGATGCTGCTGTCTACTTTTTATACGTAATCCCGTTTCCAACGAAATCCTCCAAGCTATCCAAATATCTACTTGCAGATTCCACAGAAAGACTGTTTCAAAACTGCTCTGTCAATAGAAAGGTTCAACTCTATTAGCTGCGTACATATATCCCAAAGAAGATTCTGAGATTGCTTCTGTCTAGTTTTTATGGGAAGATATTTCCCTTTTCACCGTAGGTGTCAAGGCGCTGCAAATGTCCACTTCCAGATACTACAAAAAGAGTGTTTCAACCCTACTCTGTGAAAGGGAATATTCAACTCTGTGGCTTGAATGCAGATATCACAAAGAAGTTTCTGAGAATGCTTCTGTCGAGATTTTATATGAAGATATTCCCGTTTCCAACGAAATCCTGAAATCTATCCAAATATCCCCTCGCAGATTCTACAAAAAGAGTGTTTCAAAACTGCTCTGTAAAAAGAAAGCTTCAACTCTGTTAGTTGAGTACACACATCACAAACAAGTTTCACAGAATGCTTCTTTCTAGCTTGTAGGGGAAGATATTCCCTTTATCACCATGGGCCTCAAACCGTCCGAAACGTCTACTTCCATATACTACAAAAAGAGCGTTTCAAACCTGCTCTATGAAAGGCAATGTTCAACTCTGTGACTTGAATACAGACATCGCAGAGCAGTTCCTGAGAATGCTTCTGTCTAGATTTTATAGGAAGATATTCCCGTTTCCAACGAAATCTTCACAGCTATCCAAATATCCACTTGCAGATGCTACAAAAAGAGTGTATCAAAAATGCTCTGTCAAAAGGAAGGTTATTCTCTGTTAGGTGAGTGCATACGTCATAAAGGAGTTTCTGAGAATGTTTCTGTCTAGTGGTTATGGGAAGATATTTGCTTTTTCACCGTAGGCCTCAGAGCGCTCTAAATATCCACTTGCACATACTACAAAAAGAGTGCCTCAAAGCTGCTCTCTGAAACGGAATGTTCAACTCTATGAGTTGAATGCAAACATCGCAAAGACGTTTCTGAGAATGCTTCTGTCTAGATTTGATATGAAGATATTCCCGTTTCCAACGAAATCTTCAAATCTATCCAAATGTCCACTTGCAGATTCAACAAAATGAGTTTTTCAGAACTGCTCTATCAAAAGGGAAGATCCACCTCTGTTAGCTGAGTTCACACATCACAAACAAGTTTATGAGAATGCTTCTGTCTAGTTTTTATTTGAAGATATTTCCTTTCTCACCATAGACCTGAAAGCTGTCCTAATGTTTTCTTCCAGATACTACAGAAAGAGTGTTTCAAAACTGCTGTACGAAACGGGATGTTCAACTCTGTGACTTGAATGCACACTTCACAAAGAAGTTTCTGAGGATGCTGCTGTCTACTTTTTATACATAATCCCGTTTCCAACGAAATCCTCCAAGCTATCCAAATATCCACTTGCAGATTCCACAGAAAGAATGTTTCAAAACTGCTCTGTCAAGAGAAAGGTTCAACTCTGTTAGCTGCGTGCATATATCCCAAAGAAGATTCTGAGATTGCTTCTGTCTAGTTTTTATGGGAAGATATTTCCCTTTTCACCGTAGGCGTCAAGGCGCTCCAAATGTCCACTTCCAGATACTACAAAAAGAGTGTTTCAAACCTACTCCTGTGAAAGGGAATATTCAACTCCTGTGACTTGAATGCACATATCACAAGGAAGTTTCTGAGAATGCTTCTGTCGAGATTTTATATGAAGATATTCCCGTTTCCAACGAAATCCTGAAATCTATCCAAATATCCCCTCGCAGATTCTACAAAAAGAGTGTTTCAAAACTGCTCTGTAAAAAGAAAGGTTCAACTCTGTTAGTTGAGTACACACATCACAAACAAGTTTCACATAATGCTTCTTTCTAGCTTGTAGGGGAAGATATTCCCTTTATCACCATGGGCCTCAAACCGTCTGAAACGTCCACTTCCATATACTACAAAAAGAGCATTTCAAAGCTGCTCTGTGAAAGGCAATGTTCAACTCTGTGACTTGAATGCAGACATCACAGAGCAGTTTCTGAGAATGCTTCTGTCTAGATTTTATAGGATGATATTCCCGTTTCCAACGAAATCTTCACAGCTATCCAAATATCCACTTGCAGATTCTACAAAAAGAGTGTATCAAAACTGCTCTGTCAAAAGGAAGGTTCTTTTCTGTTAGGTGAGTGCATACGTCATAAAGGAGTTTCTGAGAATGTTTCTGTCTAGTGGTTATGGGAAGATATTTGCTTTTTCACCGTAGGCCTCAGAGCGCTCCAAATATCCACTTGCACATACTACAAAAAGAGTGCCTCAAAGCTGCTCTCTGAAACGGAATGTTCAACTCTATGAGTTGAATGCAAACATCGCAAAGACGTTTCTGAGATGCTTCTGTCTAGATTTGATATGAAGATATTCCCGTTTCCAACGAAATCTTCAAATCTATCCAACTGTCCTCTTGCAGATTCAACAAAAAGTGTTTTTCAGAACTGCTCTATCAAAAGAAAGATCCACGTGTGTTAGCTGAGTTCACACATCACGAACAAGTTTATGAGAATGCTTCTGTCTAGTTTTTATTTGAAGATATTTCCTTTCTCACCATAGACCTGAAAGCTGTCCTAATGTTCACTTCCAGATACTACAGAAAGAGTGTTTCCAAACTGCTGTACGAAAGGGAATGTTCAACTCTGTGACTTGAATGCACACATCACAAAGAAGTTTCTGAGGATGCTGCTGTCTACTTTTTATACGTAATCCCGTTTCCAACGAAATCCTCCAACTATCCAAATATCCACTTGCAGATTCCACAGAAAGACTGTTTCAAAACTGCTCTGTCAATAGAAAGGTTCAACTCTGTTAGCTGCGTGCATATATCCCAAAGAAGATTCTGAGATTGCTTCTGTCTAGTTTTAATGGGAAGATATTTCCCTTTTCACCGTAGGCGTCAAGGCGCTCCAAATGTCCACTTCCAGATACTACAAAAAGAGTGTTTCTAACCTACTCGGTGAAAGGGAATATTCAACTCTGTGACTTGAATGCAGATATCACAAAGAAGTTTCTGAGAATGCTTCTGTCGAGATTTTATATGAAGGTATTCCCGTTTCCAACGAAATCCTGAAATGTATCCAAATATCCCCTCGCAGATTCTACAAAAAGAGTGTTTCAAAACTGCTCTGTAAAAAGAAAGGTTCAACTCTGTTAGTTGAGTACACACATCACAAACAAGTTTCACAGAATGCTTCTTTCTAGCTTGTAGGGGAATATATTCCCTTTATCACCATGGGTCTCAAACCGTCCGAAACGTCCACTTCCATATACTACAAAAAGAGCGTTTCAAACCTGCTCTATGAAAGGCAATGTTCAACTCTGTGACTTGAATGCAGACATCACAGAGCAGTTTCTGAGAATGCTTCTGTCTAGATTTTATAGGAAGATATTCCCGTTTCCAACGAAATCTTCACAGCTATCCAAATATCCACTTGCAGATTCTACAAAAAAAGTGTATCAAAACTGCTCTGTCAAAAGGAAGGTTCTTCTCTGTTAGGTGAGTGCATACGTCATAAAGGAGTTTCTGAGAATGTTTCTGTCTAGTGGTTATGGGAAGATATTTGCTTTTTCACCGTAGGCCTCACAGCGCTCCAAATATCCCCTTGCACATACTACAAAAAGAGTGCTTCAAAGCTGCTCTCTGAAACGGAATGTTCAACTCTATGAGTTGAATGCAAACGTGACAAAGACGTTTCCGAGAATGCTTCTGTCTAGATTTGATATGAAGATATTCCCGTTTCCAACGAAATCTTCAAATCTATCCAAATGTCCACTTGCAGATTCAACAAATCGTGTTTTTCAGAACTGCTCTATCAAAAGAAAGATCCACCTTTGTTAGCTGAGTTCACACATCACAAACAAGTTGATGAGAATGCTTCTGTCTAGTTTTTATTTGAAGATATTTCCTTTCTCACCATAGACCTTAAAGCTGTCCTAATGTTCAGTTCCAGATACTACAGAAACAGTGTTTCAAAACTGCTGTACGAAAGGGAATGTTCAACTCTGTGACTTGAATGCACACATCACAAAGAAGTTTCTGAGGATGCTGCTGTCTACTTTTTATACATAATCCCGTTTCCAACGAAATCCTCCAAGCTATCCAAATATCCACTTGCAGATTCCACAGAAAGACTGTTTCAAATCTGCTCTGTCAACAGAAAGATTCAACTCTGTTAGCTGCGTGCATATATCCCAAAGAAGATTCTGAGATTGCTTCTGTCTAGTTTTTATGGGAAGATATTTCCCTTTTCACCGTAGGTGTCAAGGCGCTCCAAATGTCCACTTCCAGAAACTACAAAAAGAGTGTTTCAAACCTACTCTGTGAAAGGGAATATTCAACTCTGTGACTTGAATGCACATATCACAAAGAAGTTTCTGAGAATGCTTCTGTCGAGATTTTATATGAAGATATTCCCGTTTCCAAAGAAATGCTGAAATCTATCCAAATATCCCCTCGCAGATTCTACAAAAAGAGTGTTTCAAAACTGCTCTGTGAAAAGAAAGGTTCAACTCTCTTAGTTGAGTACACACATCACAAACAAGTTTCACAGAATGCTTCTTTCTAACTTGTAGGGGAAGATATTTCCTTTATCACCATGGGCCTCAAACCGTCCGAAACGTCCACTTCCATATACTAAAAAAAGAGTGTTTCAAACCTGCTCTATGAAAGGCAATGTTCAACTCTGTGACTTGAATGCAGACATCACAGAGCAGTTTCTGAGAATGCTTCTGTCTAGATTTTATAGGAAGATATTCCCGTTTCCAACGAAATCTTCACAGCTATCCAAATATCCACTTGCAGATTCTACAAAAAGAGTATATCAAAACTGCTCTGTCAAAAGGAAGGTTCTTCTCTGTTAGGTGAGTGCATACGTCATAAAGGAGTTTCTGAGAATGTTTCTGTCTAGTGGTTATGGGAAGATATTTGCTTTTTCACCGTAGGCCTCAGAGCGCTCCAAATATCCACTTGCACATACTACAAAAAGAGTGTTTCAAAGCTGCTCTCTGAAAGGGAATGTTCAACTCTATGAGTTGAATGCAAACGTGACAAAGACGTTTCTGAGAATGCTTCTGTCTAGATTTGATATGAAGATATTCCCGTTTCCAACGAAATCTTCAAATCTATCCAAATGTGCACTTGCAGATTCAACAAAAAGTGTTTTTCAGAACTGCTCTATCAAAAGAAAGATCCACCTCTGTTAGCTGAGTTCACACATCACAAACAAGTTTATGAGAATGCTTCTGTCTAGTTTTTATTTGAAGATATTTCCTTTCTCTCCATAGACCTGAAAGCTGTCCTAATGTTCACTTCCAGATACTACAGAAAGAGTGTTTCAAAACTGCTGTACGAAAGGGAATGTTCAACTCTGTGACTTGAATGCACACATCACAAAGAAGTTTCTGAGGATGCTGCTGTCTACTTATTATACGTAATCCCGTTTCCAACGAAATCCTCCAAGCTATCCAAATATCCACTTGCAGATTCCACAGAAAGACTGTTTCAAAACTGCTCTGTCAATAGAAAGGTTCAACTCTGTAAGCTGCGTGCATATATCCCAAAGAAGATTCTGAGATTGCTTCTGTCTACTTTTTATGAGAAGGTATTTCCCTTTTCAACGTAGGCGTCAAGGCGCTCCAAATGTCCACTTCCAGATACTACAAAAAGAGTGTTTCAAACCTACTCTGTGAAAGGGAATATTCAACTCTGTGACTTGAATGCACATATCACAAAGAAGCTTCTGAGAATGCTTCTGTCGAGATTTTTTATGAAGATATTCCCGTTTCCAACGAAATGCTGAAATGTATCCAAATATCCCCTCGCAGATTCTACAAAAAGAGTGTTTCAAAACTGCTCTGTAAAAAGAAAGGTTCAACTCTGTTAGTTGAGTACACACATCACAAACAAGTTTCACAGAATGCTTCTTTCTAGCTTGTAGGGGAAGATATTCCCTTTATCACCATGGGCCTCAAACCGTCCGATAAGTCCACTTCCATATACTACAAAAAGAGCGTTTCAAACCTGCTCTATGAAAGGCAATGTTCAACTCTGTGACTTGAATGCAGACAACACAGAGCAGTTTCTGAGAATGCTTCTGTCTAGATTTTATAGGAAGATATTCCCGTTTCCAACGAAATCTTCACAGCTATCCAAATATCCACTTGCAGATTCTACAAAAAGAGTGTATCAAAACTGCTCTGTCAAAAGGAAGGTTCTTCTCTGTTAGGTGAGTGCATACCTCATAAAGGAGTTTCTGAGAATGTTTCTGTTAGTGGTTATGGGAAGATATTTGCTTTTTCACCGTAGGCCTCTGAGCGCTCCAAATATCCACTTGCACATACTACAAAAAGAGTGCCTCAAAGCTGCTCTCTGAAACGGAATGTTCAACTCTATGAGTTGAATGCAAACATTGCAAAGACGTTTCTGAGAATGCTTCTGTCTAGATTTGATATGAAGATATTCCCGTTTCCAACGAAATCTTCAAATCTATCCAAATGTCCACTTGCAGATTCAACAAAGTGTTTTTCAGAACTGCTCTATCAATAGAAAGATCCACCTCTGTTAGCTGAGATCACACTTCACAAACAAGTTTATCAGAATGCTTCTGTCTAGTTTTTATTTGAAGATATTTCCTTTCTCACCATAGACCTGAAAGCTGTCCTAATGTTCACTTCCAGATACTACAGAAAGAGTGTTTCAAAACTGCTGTACGAAAGGGAATGTTCAACCCTGTGACTTGAATGCACACATCACAAGGAAAGTTTCTGAGGAGGCTGCTGTCTACTTTTTATACGTAATCCCGTTTCCAACGAAATCCTCCAAGCTATCCAAATATCCACTTGCAGATTCCACAGAAAGACTGTTTCAAAACTGCTCTGTCAATAGAAAGGTTCAACTCCGTTAGCTGCGTGCATATATCCCAAAGAGGATTCTGAGATTGCTTCTGTCTAGTTTTTATGGGAAGATATTTCCCTTTTCACCGTAGGCGTCATGGCGCTCCAAATGTCCACTTCCAGATACTACAAAAAGAGTGTTTCAAACCTACTCGGTGAAAGGGAATATTCAACTCTGTGACTTGAATGCAGTTATCACAAAGAAGTTTCTGAGAATGCTTCTGTCGAGATTTTATATGAAGATATTCCCGTTTCCAACGAAATGCTGGAATCTATCCAAATATCCCCTCGCAGATTCTACAAAAAGAGTGTTTCAAAACTGCTCTGTAAAAAGAAAGGTTCAACTCTGTTAGTTGAGTACACACATCACAAACAAGTTTCACACAATGCTTCTTTCTAGCTTGTAGGGGAAGATATTCCCTTTATCACCATGGGCCTCAAACCGTCCGAAAAGTCCACTTCCATATACTACAAAAAAGAGCGTTTCAAACCTGCTCTATGAAAGGCAATGTTCAACTCTGTGACTTGAATGCAGACATCACAGAGCAGTTTCTGAGAATGCTTCTGTCTAGGTTTTATGGGAAGATATTCCCGTTTCCAACGAAATCTTCACAGCTATCCAAATATCCACTTGCAGATAGTACAAAAAGAGTGTATCAAAAATGCTCTGTCAAAAGGAAAGTTCTTCTCTGTTAGTTGAGTACATACGTCACAAAGGAGTTTCTGAGAATGTTTCTGTCTAGTGGTTATGGGAAGATATTTGCTTTTTCACCGTAGGCCTCAGAGCGCTCCAAATATCCACTTGCACATACTACAAAAAGAGTGCTTCAAAGCTGCTCTCTGAAAGTGAATGTTCAACTCTATGAGTTGAATGCCAACATCACAAAGACGTTTCTGAGAATGCTTCTGTCTAGATTTGATATGAAGATATTCCCGTTTACAAAGAAATCTTCAAATCTATCCAAATGTCCACTTGCAGATTCAACAAAAAGTGTTTTTCAGAACTGCTCTATCAAAAGAAAGATCCACCTCTGTTAGCTGAGTTCACACATCAGAAACAAGTTTATGAGAATGCTTCTGTCTAGTTTTTATTTGAAGATATTTCCTTTCTCACCATAGAGCTGAAAGCTGTCCTAATGTTCACTTCCAGATACTACAGAAAGAGTGTTTCAAAACTGCTGTACGAAAGGGAATGTTCAACTCTGTGACTTGAATGCACACATCACAAAGAAGTTTCTGAGGATGCTGCTGTCTACTTTTTATATGTAATCCCGTTTCCAACGAAATCCTCCAACCTATCCAAATATCCACTTGCAGCTTCCACAGAAAGACTGTTTCAAAACTGCTCTGTCAATAGAAAGGTTCAACTCTGTTAGCTGCGTGCATATATCCCAAAGAAGATTCTGAGATTGCTTGTGTCTACTTTTTATGAGAAGATATTTCCCTTTTCACCGTAGGCGTCAAGGCGCTCCAAATGTCCACTTCCAGATACTACAAAAAGAGTGTTTCAAACCTACTCTGTGAAAGGGAATATTCAACTCTGTGACTTAAATGCACATATCACAAAGAAGCTTCTGAGAATGCTTCTGTCGAGATTTTGTATGAAGATATTCCCGTTTCCAACGAAATCCTGAAATGTATCCAAATATCCCCTCGCAGATTCTACAAAAAGAGTGTTTCAAAACTGCTCTGTGAAAAGAAAGGTTCAACTCTCTTAGTTGAGTACACACATCACAAACAAGTTTCACAGAATGCTTCTTTCTAGCTTGTAGGGGAAGATATTCCCTTCATCACCATGGGCCTCAAACCGTCCGAAACGTCCACTTCCATATACTACAAAAAGAGCGTTTCAAACCTGCTCTATGAAAGGCAATGTTCAACTCTGTGACTTGAATGCAGACATCACAGAGCAGTTTCTGAGAATGTTTCTGTCTAGATTTTATAGGAAGATATTCCCGTTTCCAACGAAATCTTCACAGCTATCCAAATATCCACTTGCAGATTCTACAAAAAGAGTGTATCAAAACTGCTCTGTCAAAAGGAAGGTTCTTTTCTGTTAGGTGAGGGCATACGTCATAAAGGAGTTTCTGAGAATGTTTCTGTCTAGTGGTTATGGGAAGATATTTGCTTTTTCACCGTAGGCCTCAGGGTGCTCCAAATGTCCACTTGCACATGCTACAAAAAGAGTGCTTCAAAGCTGCTCTCTGAAAGGGAATGTTCAACTCTATGAGTTGAATGCAAACATCACAAAGACGTCTCTGAGAATGCTTCTGTCTAGATTTGATATGAACATATTCCCGTTTCCAACGAAATCTTCAAATCTTTCCAAATGTCCACTTGCAGATTCAACAAAAAGTGTTTTTCAGAACTGCTCTATCGAAAGATCCACCTCTGTTAGCTGAGTTCACACATCACAAACAAGTTTATGAGAATGCTTCTGTCTAGTTTTTATTTGAAGATATTTCCTTTCTCACCATAGAGCTGAAAGCTGTCCTAATGTTCACTTCCAGATACTACAGAAAGAGTGTTTCAAAACTGCTGTACGAAAGGGAATGTTCAACTACTGTGACTTGAATGCACACATCACAAAGAAGTTTCGGAGGATGCTGCTGTCTACTTTTTATACGTAATCCCGTTTCCAACGAAATCCTCCAAGCTATCCAAATATCCACTTGCAGATTCCACAGAAAGACTGTTTCAAAACTGCTCTGTCAATAGAAAGGTTCAACTCTGTTAGCAGCGTGCATATATCCCAAAGAAGATTCTGAGATTGCTTGTGTCTACTTTTTATGAGAAGATATTTCCCTTTTCACCATAGGCGTCAAGGCGCTCCAAATGTCCACTTCCAGATACTACAAAAAGAGTGTTTCAAACCTACTCTGTGAAAGGGAATATTCAACTCTGTGACTTGAATGCAGATATCACAAAGAAGTTTCTGAGAATGCTTCTGTCGAGATTTTATATGAAGATATTCCCGTTTCCAAAGAAATCCTGAAATCTATCCAAATATCCCCTCGCATATTCTACAAAAAGAGTGTTTCAAAACTGCTCTGTAAAAAGAAAGGTTCAACTCTGTTAGTTGAGTACACACATCACAAACAAGTTTCACAGAATGCTTCTTTCTAGCTTGTAGGGGAAGATATTCCCTTTATCACCATGGGCCTCAAACCGTCCGAAACGTTCACTTCCATATACTACAAAAAGAGCGTTTCAAACCTGCTCTATGAAAGGCAATGTTCAACTCTGTGACTTGAATGCAGACATCACAGAGTAGTTTCTGAGAATGCTTCTGTCTAGATTTTATAGGAAGATATTCCCGTTTCCAACGAAATCTTCACAGCTATCCAAATATCCACTTGCAGATTCTACAAAAAGAGTGTATCAAAACTGCTCTGTCAAAAGGAAGGTTCTTCTCTGTTAGGTGAGTGCATACGTCATAAAGGAGTTTCTGAGAATGTTTATCTGTCTAGTGGCTATGGGAAGATATTTGCTTTTTCACCGTAGGCCTCACAGCGCTCCAAATATCCACTTGCACATACTACAAAAAGAGTGCTTCAAAGCTGCTCTCTGAAACGGAATGTTCAACTCTATGAGTTGAATGCAAACATCACAAAGACGTTTCTGAGAATGCTTCTGTCTAGACTTGATATGAAGATATTCCCGTTTCCAACGAAATCTTCAAATCTATCCAAATGTCCACTTGCAGATTCAACAAAAAGTGTTTTTCAGAACTGCTCTATCAAAAGAAAGATCCACCTCTGTTAGCTGAGTTCACACATCACAAACAAGTTGATGAGAATGCTTGTGTCTAGTTTTTATTTGAAGATATTTCCTTTCTCACCATAGACCTGAAAGCTGTCCTAATGTTCACTTCCAGATGCTACAGAAAGAGTGTTTCAAAACTGCTGTACGAAAGGGAATGTTCAACTCTGTGACTTGAATGCACACATCACAAAGAAGTTTCTGAGGATGCTGCTGTCTACTTTTTATACGTAATCCCGTTTCCAACGAAATCCTGCAATCTATCCAAATATCCACTTGCAGATTCCACAGAAAGACTGTTTCAAAACTGCTCTGTCAATAGAAAGGTTCAACTCTGTTAGCTGCGTGCATATATCCCAAAGAAGATTCTGAGATTGCTTCTGTCTAGTTTTTATGGGAAGATATTTCCCTTTTCACCGTGGGCGTCAAGGCGCTCCAAATGACCACTTCCAGATACTACAAAAAGAGTGTTTCAAACCTACTCTGTGAAAGGGAATATTCAACTCTGTGACTTGAATGCACATATCAGAAGGAAGTTTCTGAGAATGCTTCTGTCGAGATTTTGTATGAAGATATTCCCGTTTCCAACGAAATCCTGAAATCTATCCAAATATCCCCTCACAGATTCTACAAAAAGAGTGTTTCAAAACTGCTCTGTGAAAAGAAAGGTTCAACTCTGTTAGTTGAGTACACACATCACAAACAAGTTTCACAGAATGCTTCTTTCTAGCTTGTAGGGGAAGATATTCCCTTTATCACCATGGGCCTCAAACCGTCTGAAACGTCCACTTCCATATACTACAAAAAGAGCGTTTCAAACCTGCTCTAGGAAAGGCAATGTTCAACTCTGTGACTTGAATGCAGACATCACAGAGCAGTTTCTGAGAATGCTTCTGTCTATACTTTATAGGAAGATATTCCCGTTTCCAAAGAAATCTTCACAGCTATCCAAATATCCACTTGCAGATTCTACAAAAAGAGTGTATCAAAACTGCTCTGTCAAAAGGAAGGTTCTTCTCTGTTAGGTGAGTGCATACGTCATAAAGGAGTTTCTGAGAATGTTTCTGTCTAGTGGTTATGGGAAGATATTTGCTTTTTCACCGTAGGCCTCAGAGCGCTCCAAATATCCCCTTGCACATACTACAAAAAGAGTGCTTCAAAGCTGCTCTCTGAAACGGAATGTTCAAATCTATGAGTTGAATGCAAACATCACAAAGACGTTTCTGAGAATGCTTCTGTCTAGATTTGATATGAAGATATTCCCGTTTCCAACGAAATCTTCAAATCTATCCAAATGTCCACTTGCAGATTCAACAAAAAGTGTTTTTCAAAACTGCTGTATCAAAAGAAAGATCCACGTCTGTTAGCTGAGTTCACACATGACAAACAAGTTTATGAGAATGTTTCTGTCTAGTTTTTATTTGAAGATATTTCCTTTCTCACCATAGACCTGAAAGCTGTCCTAATGTTCTCTTCCAGATGCTACAGAAAAAGTGTTTCAAAACTGCTGTACGAAAGGGAATGTTCAATTCTGTGACTTGAATGCACACATCACAGAGAAGTTTCTGAGGATGCGGCTGTCTACTTTTTATACGTAATCCCGTTTCCAACGAAATCCTCCAAGCTATCCAAATATCCACTTGCAGATTCCACAGAAAGACTGTTTCAAAACTGCTCTGTCAATAGAAAGGTTCAACTCTGTAAGCTGCGTGCATATATCCCAAAGAAGATTCTGAGATTGCTTCTGTCTAATTTTTATGGGAAGATATTTCCCTTTTCACCGTAGGCGTCAAGGCGCTCCTAATGTCCACTTCCAGATATTACAAAAAGAGTGTTTCAAACCTACTCTGTGAAAGGGAATATTCAACTCTGTGACTTGAATGCAGATATCACAAAGAAGTTTCTGAGAATGCTTCTGTCGAGATTTTATATGAAGATATTCCCGTTTCCAACGAAATCCTGAAATCTATCCAAATATCCCCTCGCAGATTCTACAAAAAGAGTGTTTCAAAACTGCTCTGTAAAAAGAAAGGTTCAACTCTGTTAGTTGAGTGCACACATCACAAACAAGTTTCACAGAATGCTTCTTTCTAGCTTGTAGGGGAAGATATTCCCTTTATCACCATGGGCCTCAAACCGTCTGAAACGTCCACTTCCATATACAGCAAAAAGAGCATTTCAAACCTGCTCTATGAAAGGCAATGTTCAACTCTGTGACTTGAATGCAGACATCACAGAGCAGTTTCTGAGAATGCTTCTGTCTAGATTTTATAGGAAGATATTCCCGTTTCCAACAAAATCTTCACAGCTATCCAAATATCCACTTGCAGATTCTACAAAAAGAGTGTATCAAAACTGCTCTGTCAAAAGGAAGGTTCTTCTCTGTTAGGTGAGTGCATACGTCGTAAAGGAGTTTCTGAGAATGTTTCTGTCTAGTGGTTATGGGAAGATATTTGCTTTTTCACCGTAGGCCTCAGAGCGCTCCAAATATCCACTTGCACATACTACAAAAAGAGTGTCTCAAAGCTGCTCTCTGAAACGGAATGTGCAACTCTATGAGTTGAATGCAAACATCGCAAAGACGTTTCTGAGAATGCTTCTGTCTAGATTTGATATGAAGATATTCCTTTTTCCAAGGAAATCTTCAAAACTATCCAAATGTCCACTTGCAGATTCAACAAAAAGTGTTTTTCAGAACTGCTCTATCAAAAGAAAGATCCACCGCTGTTTGCTGAGTTCACACATCACAAACAAGTTTATGAGAATGCTTCTGTCTAGTTTTTATTTGAAGATATTTCCTTTCTCACCATAGACCTGAAAGCTGTCCTAATGTTCACTTCCAGATACTACAGAAAGAGTGTTTCAAAACTGCTGTACAAAAGGGAATGTTCAACTCTGTGACTTGAATGCACACATCACAAAAAAGTTTCTGAGGATGCTGCTGTCTACTTTTTATACGTAATCCCGTTTCCAACGAAATCCTCCAAGCTATCCAAATATCCACTTGCAGATTCCACAGAAAGACTGTTTCAAAACTCCTCTGTCAATAGAAAGGTTCAACTCCGTTAGCTGCGTGCATATATCCCAAAGAAGATTCTGAGATTGCTTCTGTCTAGTTTTTATGGGAAGATATTTCCCTTTTCACCGTAGGTGTGAAGGCGCTCCAAATGTCCACTTCCAGATACTACAAAAAGAGTGTTTCAAACCTACTCTGTGAAAGGGAATATTCAACTCTGTGACTTGAATGCACATATCACAAAGAAGTTTCTGAGAATGCTTCTGTCGAGATTTTATATGAAGATATTCCCGTTTCCAACGAAATCCTGAAATCTATCCAAATATGCCCTCGCAGATTCTACAAAAAGAGTGTTTCAAAACTGCTCTGTAAAAAGAAAGGTTCAACTCTGTTAGTTGAGTACACACATCACAAACAAGTTTCACAGAATGCTTCTTTCTAGCTTGTAGGGGAAGATATTCCCTTTATTACCATGGGCCTCAAACCGTCCGAAACGTCCACTTCCATATACTACAAAAAGAGCGTTTCAAACCTCCTCTATGAAAGGCAATGTTCAACTCTGTGACTTGAATGCAGACATCACAGAGCAGTTTCTGAGAATGCTTCTGTCTAGATTTTATAGGAAGATATTCCCGTTTCCAACGAAATCTTCACAGCTATCCAAATATCCACTTGCAGATTCTACCAAAAGAGTGTATCAAAACTGCTCTGTCAAAAGGAAGGTTCTTTTCTGTTAGGTGAGTGCATACGTCATAAAGGAGTTTCTGAGAATGTTTCTGTCTAGTGGTTATGGGAAGATATTTGCTTTTTCACCGTAGGCCTCAGAGCGCTCCAAATATCCACTTGCACATACTACAAAAAGAGTGCCTCAAAACTGCTCTCTGAAACGGAATGTTCAACTCTATGAGTTGAATGCAAACATCGCAAAGACGTTTCTGAGAATGCTTCTGTCTAGATTTGATATGAAGATATTCCCGTTTCCAACGAAATCTTCAAATCTATCCAAATGTCCACTTGCAGATTCAACAAAAAGTGTTTTTCAGAACTGCTGTATCAAAAGAAAGATCCACCTCTGTTAGCTGAGTTCAGACATCACAAACAAGTTTATGAGAATGCTTCTGTCTAGTTTTTATTTGAAGATATTTCCTTTCTCACCATGGACCTGAAAGCTCTCGTAATGTTCACTTCCAGATACTAGAGAAAGAGTGGTTCAAACCTGCTCTGCGAAAGGGAATGTTGAACTCTGTGACTTGAATTCACACATCACAAAGGAGTTTCTGAGAATACTGCTGTCTACTTTTTATACATAATACCGTTTCCAACGAAATCCTCCAAGCTATCCAAATATCCACTTGCAGATTCCTCAAAAAGACTGTTTCAAAACTGCTCTGTCAATAGAAAGGTTCAACTCTGTAAGCTGCGTGCATATATCCCAAAGAAGATTCTGAGATTGCTTCTGTCTAGATTTGATGGGAAGATATTTCCCTTTTCACAGTAGACGTCAAGGCGCTCCAAATGTCCACTTCCAGATACTACAAAAAGAGTGTTTCAAACCTACTCTGTGAAAGGGAATATTCAACTCTGTGACTTGAATGCAGATATCACAGAGCAGTTTCTGAGAATGCTTCTGTCGAGATTTTATATGAAGATATACCCGTTTCCAACGAAATCCTGAAATCTATCCAAATATCCCCTCGCAGATTCTACAAAAAGAGTGTTTCAAAACTGCTCTGTGAAAAGAAAGGTTCAACTCTGTTAGTTGAGTACACACATCACAAACAAGTTTCACAGAATGCTTCTTTCTAGCTTGTAGGGGAAGATATTCCCTTTATCACCATGGGCCTCAAACCGTCCGAAAAGTCCACTTCCATATACTACAAAAAGAGCGTTTCAAACCTGCTCTATGAAAGGCAATGTTCAACTCTGTGACTTGAATGCAGACATCACAGAGCAGCTTCTGAGAATGCTTCTGTCTAGATTTTATAGGAAGATATTCCCGTTTCCAGCGAAATCTTCACAGCTATCCAAATATCCACTTGCAGATTCTACAAAAAGAGTGTATCATAACTGCTCTGTCAAATGGAAGGTTCTTCTCTGTTAGGTGAGTGCATACGTCATAAAGGAGTTTCTGAGAATGTTTCTGTCTAGTGGTTATGGGAAGATATTTGCTTTTTCACCGTAGGCCTCAGAGCGCTCCAAATATCCACTTGCACATACTACAAAAAGAGTGTTTCAAAGCTGCTCTCTGAAAGGGAATGTTCAACTCTATGAGTTGAATGCAAACATCACAAAGACGTTTCTGAGAATGCTTCTGTCTAGATTTGATAGGAAGATATTCCCGTTTCCAACGAAATCTTCAAATCTATCCAAATGTCCACTTGCAGATTCAACAAAAAGTGTTTTTCAGAACTGCTCTATCAAAAGAAAGATCCACCTCTGTTAGCTGAGTTCACACATCAAAAACAAGTTTATGAAAATGCTTCTGTCAAGTTTTTATTTGAAGATATTTCCTTTCTCACCATAGACCTGAAAGCTGTCCTAATGTTCACTTCCAGATACTACAGAAAGAGTGTTTCAAAACTGCTGTACGAAAGGGAATGTTCAACTCTGTGACTTGAATGCACACATCACAAAGAAGTTTCTGAGGATGCTGCTGTCTACTTTTTATACGTAATCCCGTTTCCAAAGAAATCCTCCAAGCTATCCAAATATCCACTTGCAGATTCCACAGAAAGACTGTTTCAAAACTGCTCTGTCAATAGAAAGGTTCAACTCTGTTAGCTGCGTGCGATATATCCCAAAGAAGATTCTGAGATTGCTTCTGTCTAGTTTTTATGGGAAGATATTTCCCTTTTCACCGTAGGTGTCAAGGCGCTCCAAATGTCCACTTCCAGATACTACAAAAAGAGTGTTTCAAACCTACTCTGTGAAAGGGAATATTCAACTCTGTGACTTGAATGTAGATATCACAAAGAAGTTTCTGAGAATGCTTCTGTCGAGATTTTATATAAAGATATTCCCGTTTCCAACGAAATCCTGAAATCTATCCAAATATCCCCTCGCAGATTCTACAAAAAGAGTGTTTCAAAACTGCTCTGTAAAAAGAGAGGTTCAACTCTGTTAGTTGAGTACACACATCACAAACAAGTTTCACAGAATGCTTCTTTCTAGCTTGTAGGGGAAGATATTCCCTTTATCACCATGGGTCTCAAACCGTCCGAAACGTCCACTTCCATATACTACAAAAAGAGCGTTTCAAATTTGCTCTAGGAAAGGCAATGTTCAACTCTGTGACTTGAATGCAGACATCACAGAGCAGTTCCTGAGAATGTTTCTGTCTAGATTTTATAGGAAGATATTCCCGTTTCCAACGAAATCTTCACAGCTATCCAAATATCCACTTGCAGATTCTACAAAAAGAGTGTATCAAAACTGCTCTGTCTAAAGGAAGGTTCTTCTCTGTTAGTTGAGTACATACGTCATAAAGGAGTTTCTGAGAATGTTTCTGTCTAGTGGTTATGGGAAGATATTTGCTTTTTCACCGTAGGCCTAAGAGCGCTCCAAATATCCACTTGCACATACTACAAAAAGAGTGCTTCAAAGCTGCTCTCTGAAACGGAATGTTCAACTCTATGAGTTGAATGCAAACATCACAAAGACGTTTCTGAGAATGCTTCTGTCTAGATTTGATATGAAGATATTCCCGTTTCCAACGAAATCTTCAAATCTATCCAAATGTCCACTTGCAGATTCAACAAAAAGTGTTTTTCAGAACTGCTCTATCAATAGAAAGATCCACCTCTGTTAGCTGAGTTCACACATCACAAACAAGTTTATGAGAATGCTTCTGTCTAGTTTTTATTTGAAGATATTTCCTTACTCACGATAGACCTGAAAGCTGTCCTAATGTTCACTTCCAGATACTACAGAAAGAGTGTTTCAAAACTGCTGTACGAAAGGGAATGTTCAACTGTGTGTCTTGAATGCACACATCACAAGGAAGTTTCTGAGGATGCTGCTGTCTACATTTGATACGTAATCCCGTTTCCAACGAAATCTTCCAAGCTATCCAAATATCCACTTGCAGATTCCACGGAAAGACTGTTTCAAAACTGCTCTGTCAATAGAAAGGTTCAACTCTGTTAGCTGCGTGCATATATCCCAAAGAAGATTCTGAGATTGCTTCTGTCTAGTTTTTATGGGAAGATATTTCCCTTTTCACCGTAGGCGTTAAGGCGCTCCAAATGTCCACTTCCAGATACTACAAAAAGAGTGTTTCAAACCTACTCTGTGAAAGGGAATATTCAACTCTGTGACTTGAATGCAGATATCACAAAGAAGTTTCTGAGAATGCTTCTGTCGAGATTTTATATGAAGATATTCCCGTTCCCAACGAAATCCTGAAATCTATCCAAATATCCCCTCGCAGATTCTACAAAAAGCGTGTTTCAAAACTGCTCTGTAAAAAGAAAGGTTCAACTCTGTTAGTTGAGTACACACATCACAAACAAGTTTCACAGAATGCTTCTTTCTAGCTTGTAGGGGAAGATATTCCCTTTATCACCATGGTCCTCAAACCGTCCGAAACGTCCACTTCCATATACTACAAAAAGAGCGTTTCTAAACTGCTCTAGGAAAGGCAATGTTCAACACTGTGACTTGAATGCAGACATCACAGAGCAGTTTCTGAGAATGCTTCTGTCTAGATTTTATAGGAAGATATTCCCGTTTCCAACGAAATCTTCACAGCTACCCCAATATCCACTTGCAGATTCTACAAAAAGAGTGTATCAAAACTGCTCTGTCAAAAGGAAGGTTCTTCTCTGTTAGGTGAGTGCATAAGTCATAAAGGAGTTTCTGAGAATGTTTCTGTCTAGTGGTTATGGGAAGATATTTGCTTTTTCACCGTAGGCCTCAGAGCGCTCCAAATATCCACTTGCACATACTACAAAAAGAGTGCCTCACAGCTGCTCTCTGAAAGGGAATGTTCAACTCTATGAGTTGAATGCAAACATCGCAAAGACGTTTCTGAGAATGCTTCTGTCTAGATTTGATATGAAGGTATTCCCGTTTCCAACGAAATCTTCAAATCTGTCCAAATGTCCACTTGCAGATTCAACAAAAAGTGTTTTTCAGAACTGCTCTATCAAAAGAAAGATCCACCTCTGTTAGCTGAGTTCACACATCACAAACAAGTTTATGAGAATGCTTCTGTCTAGTTTTTATTTGAAGATATTTCCTTTCTCACCATAGACCTGAAAGCTGTCCTAATGTTCACTTCCAGATACTGCAGAAAGAGTGTTTCAAAACTGCTGTACGAAAGGGAATGTTCAACTCTGTGACTTGAATGCACACATCACAAAGAAGTTTCTGAGGATGCTGCTGTCTACTTTTTATACGTAATCCCGTTTCCAACGAAATCCTCCAAGCTATCCAAATATCCACTTGCAGATTCCACAGAAAGACTGTTTCAAAACTGATCTGTCAATAGAAAGGTTCAACTCTGTTAGCTGCGTGCATATATCCCAAAGAAGATTCTGAGATTGCTTCTGTCTAGTTTTTATGGGAAGATATTTCCCTTTTCACCGTAGGGGTCAAGGCGCTCCAAATGTCCACTTCCAGATACTACAAAAAGAGTGTTTCAAACCTACTCTGTGAAAGGGAATATTCAACTCTGTGACTTGAATGCAGATATCACAAGAAGTTTCTGAGAATGCTTCTGTCGAGATTTTATATGAAGATATTCCCGTTTCCAACGAAATCCTGAAATGTATCCAAATATCCCCTCGCAGATTCTACAAAAAGAGTGTTTCAAAACTGCTCTGTAAAAAGAAAGGTTCAACTCTGTTAGTTGAGTACAGACATCACAAACAAGTTTCACAGAATGCTTCTTTCTAGCTTGTAGGGGAAGATATTCCCTTTATCACCATGGGCCTCCAACCGTCCGAAACATCCACTTCCATATACTACAAAAAGAGCGTTTCAAACCTGCTCTATGAAAGGCAATGTTCAACTCTGTGACTTGAAAGCAGACATCACAGAGCAGTTTCTGAGAATGCTTCTGTCTAGATTTTATAGGAAGATATTCCCGTTTCCAACGAAATCTTCACAGCTATCCAAATATCCACTTGCAGATTCTACAAAAAGAGTGTATCAAAACTGCTCTGTCAAAAGGAAGGTTCTTCTCTGTTAGGGTGAGTGCATACGTCGTAAAGGAGTTTCTGAGAATGTTTCTGTCTAGTGGTTATGGGAAGATATTTGCTTTTTCCCCGTAGGCCTCAGGGCGCTCCAAATGTCCACTTGCACATACTACAAAAAGAGTGCTTCAAAGCTGCTCTCTGAAACGGAAAGTTCAACTCTATGAGTTGAATGCAAACATCACAAAGACGTTTCTGAGAATGCTTCTGTCTAGATTTGATATGAAGATATTCCCGTTTCCAACGAAATCTTCAAATCTATCCAAATGTCCACTTGCAGATTCTACAAAAAGTGTTTTTCAGAACTGCTCTATCAAAAGAAAGATCCACCTCTGTTAGCTGAGTTCACACATCACAAACAAGTTTATGAGAATGCTTCTGTCTAGTTTTTATTTGAAAATATTTCCTTTCTCACCATAGACCTGAAAGCTGTCCTAATGTTCACTTCCAGATACTACAGAAAGAGTGTTTCAAAACTGCTGTACGAAAGGGAATGTTCAACTCTGTGACTTGAATGCACACATCACAAAGAAGTTTCTGAGGATGCTGCTGTCTACTTTTTATACTTAATCCCGTTTCCAACGAAATCCTCCAAGCTATCCAAATATCCACTTGCAGATTCCACAGAAAGACTGTTTCAAAACTGCTCTGTCAATAGAAAGGTTCAACTCTGTTAGCTGCATGCATATATCCCAAAGAAGATTCTGAGATTGCTTCTGTCTAGTTTTGATGGGAAGATATTTCCCTTTTCACCGTAGGCGTCAAGGCGCTCCAAATGTCCACTTCCAGATACTACAAAAAGAGTGTTTCAAACCTGTTCTATTAAAGGGAATGTTCAATTCTGTGACTTGAATGCAAACATCACCAAGAAGTTTCTCAGAACGCTTCTGTCGAGATTTTATATGAAGATACTCCCGTTTCCAACGAAATCCTGAAATCTATCCAAATATCCCCTCGCAGATTCTACAAAAAGAGTGTTTCAAAACTGCTCTGTAAAAAGAAAGGTTCAACTCTGTTAGTTGAGTACACACATCAGAAACAAGTTTCACAGAATGCTTCTTTCTAGCTTGTAGGGGAAGATATTCCCTTTATCACCATGGGCCTCAAACCGTACGAAACGTCTACTTCCATATACTACAAAAAGAGCGTTTCAAACCTGCTCTATGAAAGGCAATGTTCAACTCTGTGACTTGAATGCAGACATCACAGAGCAGTTTCTGAGAATGCTTCTGTCTAGATTTTATAGGAAGATATTCCCGTTTCCAACGAAATCTTCACAGGTATCCAAATATCCACTTGCAGATTCTACAAAAAGAGTGTATCAAAACTGCTCTGTCAAAAGGAAGGTTCTTCTCTGTTAGGTGAGTGCATACGTCATAAAGGAGTTTCTGAGAAAGTTTCTGTCTAGTGGTTATGGGAAGATATTTGCTTTTTCACCTGAGGCCTCAGAGCACTCCAAATATCCCCTTGCACATACTACAAAAAGAGTGCCTCAAAGCTGCTCTCTGAAACGGAATGTTCAACTCTATGAGTTGAATGCAAACATCACAAAGACGTTTCTGAGAATGCTTCTGTCTAGATTTGATATAAAGATATTCCCGTTTCCAACGAAATCTTCAAATCTATCCAAATGTCCACTTGCAGATTCAACAAAAAGTGTTTTTCCGAACTGCTCTATCAAAAGAAAGATCCACCTCTGTTAGCTGAGTTCACACATCACAAACAAGTTTATGAGAATGCTTCGGTATAGTTTTTATTTGAAGATATTTCCTTTCTCACCATAGACCTGAAAGCTGTCCTAATGTTCACTTCCAGATGCTACAGAAAGAGTGTTTCAAAACTGCTGTACGAAAGGGAATATTCAACTCTGTGACTTGAATGCACACATCACAAAGAAGTTTCTGAGGATGCTGCTGTCTACTTTTTATACGTAATCCCGTTTCCAACGAAATCCTCCAAGCTATCCAAATATCCACTTGCAGATTCCACAGAAAGACTGTTTCAAAACTGCTGTCAATAGAAAGGTTCAACTCTGTTAGCTGCATGCATATATCCCAAAGAAGATTCTGAGATTGCTTCTGTCTACTTTTTATGAGAAGATATTTCCCTTTTCACCGTAGGCGTCAAGGTGCTCAAAATGTCCACTTCCAGATACTACAAAAAGAGTGTTTCAAACCTACTCTGTGAAAGGGAATATTCAACTCTGTGACTTGAATGCACATATCACAAAGAAGCTTCTGAGAATGCTTCTGTCGAGATTTTATATGAAGATATTCTCGTTTCCAACGAAATCCTGAAATCTATCCAAATATCCCCTCACAGATTCTACAAAAAGAGTGTTTCAAAACTGCTCTGTAAAAAGAAAGGTTGAACTCTGTTACTTGAGTACACACATCACAAACAAGTTTCACAGAATGCTTCTTTCTAGCTTGTAGGGGAAGATATTCCCTTTTTCACCATGGGCCTCAAACCGTCTGAAACGTCCACTTCCATATACTACAAAAAGAGCATTTCAAACCTGCTCTGTGAAAGGCAATGTTCAACTCTGTGACTTGAATGCAGACATCACACAGCAGTTTCTGAGAATGCTTCTGTCTAGATTTTATAGGAAGATATTCCGGTTTCCAACGAAATCTTCACAGCTATCCAAATATCCACCTGCAGATACTACAAAAAGAGTGTATCAAAACTGCTCTGTCAAAAGGAAGGTTCTTCTCTGTTAGGTGAGTGCATACGTCATAAAGGAGTTTCTGAAAATGTTTCTGTCTAGTGGTTATGGGAAGATATTTGCTTTTTCACCGTAGGCCTCAGAGCGCTCCAAATATCCAGTTGCACATACTACAAAAAGAGTGCTTCAAAGCTGCTCTCTGAAACGGAATGTTCAACTCTAGGAGTTGAATGCAAACATCACAAAGACGTTTCTGAGAATGCTTCTGTCTAGTATTTGATATGAAGATCTTCCCGTTTCCAACGAAATCTTCAAATCTATCCAAATGTCCACTTGCAGATTCAACAGAAAGTGTTTTTCAGAACTGCTCTATCAAAAGAAAGATCCACCTCTGTTAGCTGAGTTCAGACATCACAAACAAGTTTATGAGAATGCTTCTGTTTAGTTTTTATTTGAAGATATTTCCTTTCTCACCATCGACCTGAAAGCTGTCCTAATGTTCACTTCCAGATACTACAGAAAGAGTGTTTCAAAACTGCTGTACGAAAGGGAATGTTCAACACTGTGACTTGAATGCACACATCACAAAGAAGTTTCTGAGGATGCGGCTGTCTACTTTTTATACCTAATCCCGTTTCCAACGAAATCCTCCAAGCTATCCAAATATCCACTTGCAGATTCCACAGAAAGACTGTTTCAAAACTGCTCTGTCAATAGAAAGGTTCAACTCTGTTAGCTGCGTGCATATATCCCAAAGAAGATTCTGAGATTGCTTCTGTCTAGTTTTTATGGGAAGATATTTCCCTTTTTACCGTAGGTGTCAAGGCGCTCAAAATGTCCACTTCCAGATACTACAAAATGAGTGTTTCAAACCTACTCTGTGAAAGGGAATATTCAACTCTGTGACTTGAATGCAGATATCACAAAGAAGTTTCTGAGAATGCTTCTGTCGATATTTTATATGAAGACATTCCCGTTTCCAACGAAATGCTGAAATGTATCCAAATATCCCCTCGCAGATTCTACAAAAAGAGTGTTTCAAAACTGCTCTGTAAAAAGAAAGGTTCAACTCTGTTAGTTGAGTACACACATCACAAACAAGTTTCACAGAATGCTTCTTTCTATCTTGTAGGGGAAGATATTTCCTTTATCACCATGGTCCTCAAACCGTCCGAATCGTCCACTTCCATATACTAAAAAAAGAGTGTTTGAAACCTGCTCTATGAAAGGCAATGTTCAACTCTGTGACTTGAATGCAGACATCACAGAGCAGTTTCTGAGAATGCTTCTGTCTAGATTTTATAGGAAGATATTCCCGTTTCCAACGAAATCTTCACAGCTATCCAAATATCCACTTGCAGATTCTACAAAAAGAGTGTATGAAAACTGCTCTGTCAAAAGGAAGGTTCTTCTCTGTTAGGTGAGTGCATACGTCATAAAGGAGTTTCTGAGAATGTTTCTGTCTAGTGGTTATGGGAAGATATTTGCTTTTTCACCGTAGGCCTCAGAGCGCTCCAAATATCCACTTGCACATACTACAAAAAGAGTGCTTCAAATCTGCTCTCTGAAACGGAATGTTCAACTCTATGAGTTGAATGCAAACATCACAAAGACGTTTCTGAGAATGCTTCTGTCTAGACTTGATATGAAGATATTCCCGTTTCCAACGAAATCTTCAAATCTATCCAAATGTCCACTTGCAGATTCAACAAAAAGTGTTTTTCAGAACTGCTCTATCAAAAGAAAGATCAACCTCTGTTAGCTGAGTTCACACATCACAAACAAGTTTATGAGAATGCTTCTGTCTAGTTTTTATTTGAAGATATTTCCTTTCTCACCATAGAGCTGAAAGCTGTCCTAATGTTCACTTCCAGTTACTACAGAAAGACTGTTTCAAAACTGCTGTACGAAAGGGAATGTTCAACTCTGTGACTTGAATGCACACATCACAAAGAAGTTTCTGAGGATGCTGCTGTCTACTTTTTATACGTAATCCCGTTTCCAACGAAATCCTCCAAGCTATCCAAATATCCACTTGCAGATTCCACAGAAAGACTGTTTCAAAACTCCTCTGTCCATAGAAAGGTTCAACTCTGTTAGCTGCGTGCATATAACCCAAAGAAGATTCTGAGATTGCTTCTGTCTAGTTTTTATGGGAAGATATTTCCCTTTTCACCGTAGGCGTCAAGGCGCTCCAAATGTCCACTTCCAGATACTACAAAAAGACTGTTTCAAACCTACTCTGTGAAAGGGAATATTCAACTCTGTGACTTGAAAGCACATATCACAAAGAAGTTTCTGAGAATGCTTTTGTCGAGATTTTCTATGAAGATATTCCCATTTCCAACGAAATCCTGAAATGTATCCAAATATCCCCTCGCAGATTCTACAAAAAGAGTGTTTCAAAACTGCTCTGTAAAAAGAAAGGTTCAACTCTGTTAGTTGAGTACAAACATCACAAACAAGTTTCACAGAATGCTTCTTTCTAGCTTATAGGGGAAGATATTCCCTTTATCACCATGGGCCTCAAACCGTCCGAAACGTCCACTTCCATATACTACAAAAAGAGCGTTTCAAACCTGCTCTATGAAAGGCAATGTTCAACTCCGTGACTTCAATGCAGACATCACAGAGCAGTTTCTGAGAATGCTTCTGTCTGGATTTTATAGGAAGATATTCCCGTTTCCAACGAAATCTTCACAGCTATCCAATTATCCACTTGCAGATTCTACAAAAAGAGTGTATCAAAACTGCTCTGTCAAAAGGAAGGTTCTTCTCTGTTAGGTGAGTGCATACGTCATAAAGGAGTTTCTGAGAATGTTTCTGTCTAGTGGTTATGGGAAGATATTTGCTTTTTCACCGTAGGCCTCAGAGCGCTCCAAATATCCACTTGCATATACTACAAAAAGAGTGCTTCAAAGCTGCTCTCTGAAACGGAATGTTCAACTCTATGAGTTGAATGCAAACATCACAAAGACGTTTTCCGAGAATGCTTCTGTCTAGATTTGATATGAAGATCTTCCCGTTTCCAACGAAATCTTCAAATCTATCCAAATGTCCACTTGCAGATTCAACAAAAAGTGTTTTTCAGAACTGCTCTATCAAAAGAAAGATCCACCTCTGTTAGCTGAGTTCAGACATCACAAACAAGTTTATGAGAATGCTTTCTGTCTAGTTTTTATTTGAAGATATATCCTTTCTCACTATAGACCTGAAAACTCTCCTAAAGTTCACTTCCAGATACTACAGAAAGAGTGTTTCAAAACTGCTGTACGAAAGGGAATATTCAACTCTGTGACTTGAATGCACGCATCACAAGGAAGTTTCTGAGGATGCTGCTGTCTACTTTTTATACGTAATCCCGTTTCCAACGAAATCCTCCAAGCTATCCAAATACCACTTGCAGATTCCACAGAAAGACTGTTTCAAAACTGCTCTGTCAATAGAAAGGTTCAACTCTGTTAGCTGCGTGCATATATCCCAAAGAAGATTCTGAGATTGCTTCTGTCTAGTTTTTATGGGAAGATATTTCCCTTTTCACCGTAGGTGTCAAGGCGCTCCAAATGTCCACTTCCAGATACTACAAAAAGAGTGTTTCTAACCTACTCTGTGAAAGGGAATATTCAACTCTGTGACTTGAATGCACATATCACAAAGAAGTTTCTGAGAATGCTTCTGTCGAGATTTTATATGAAGATATTCCCGTTTCCAACGAAATCCTGAAATCTATCCAAATATCGCCTTGCAGATTCTACAAAAAGAGTGTTTCAAAACTGCTCTGTAAAAAGAAAGGTTCAACTCTGTTAGTTGAGTACACACATCACAAACAAGTTTCACAGAATGCTTCTTTCTAGCTCGTAGGGGAAGATATTCCCTTTATCACCATGTGCCTCAAACCGTCCGAAACGTCCACTTCCATATACTACAAAAAGAGCGTTTCAAACCTGCTCCATGAAAGGCAATGTTCAACTCTGTGACTTGAATGCAGACATCATAGAGCAGTTTCTGAGAATGCTTCTGTCTAGATTTTATAGGAAGATATTCCGGTTTCCAACGAAATCTTCACAGCTATCCAAATATCCACTTGCAGATTCTACAAAAAGAGTGTATCAAAACTGCTCTGTCAAAAGGAAGGTTCTTCTCTGTTAGGTGAGTGCATACGTCATAAAGGAGTTTCTGAAAATGTTTCTGTCTAGTGGTTATGGGAAGATACTTGCTTTTTCACCTTAGGCCTCAGAGCGCTCAAAATATCCCCTTGCACATACTACAAAAAGAGCGCTTCAAAGCTGCTCTCTGAAACGGAATGTTCAACTCTATGGGTTGAATGCAAACATCAGAAAGACGTTTCTGAGAATGCTTCTGTCTAGATTTGATATGAAGATATTCCCGTTTCCAACGAAATCTTCAAATGTATCCAAATGTCCACTTGCAGATTCAACAAAAAGTGTTTTTCAGAACTGCTCTATCAAAAGAAAGATCCACCTCTGTTAGCTGAGTTCACACATCACAAACAAGTTTATGAGAATGCTTCTGTCTAGTTTTTATTTGAAGATATTTCCTTTCTCACCATAGAGCTGAAAGCTGTCCTAATGTTCACTTCCAGATACTACAGAAAGAGTGTTTCAAAACTGCTGTACGAAAGGGAATGTTCAACTACTGTGACTTGAATGCACACATCACAAAGAAGTTTCTGAGGATGCTGCTGTCTACTTTTTATACGTAATCCCGTTTCCAACGAAATCCTCCAAGCTATCCAAATATCCACTGGCAGATTCCACAGAAAGACTGTTTCAAAACTGCTCTGTCAATAGAAAGGTTCAACTCTGTTAGCTGCATGCATATATCCCAAAGAAGATTCTGAGATTGCTTCTGTCTAGTTTTTATGGGAAGATATTTCCCTTTTCACCGTAGGCGTCAAGGCGCTCCAAATGTCCACTTCCAGATGCTACAAAAAGAGTGTTTCAAACCTACTCTGTGAAAGGGAATATTCAACTCTGTGACTTGAATGCACATATCACAAAGAAGTTTCTGAGAATGCTTCTGTCGAGTATTTTATATGAAGATATTCCAGTTTCCAACCAAATCCTGAAATCTATCCAAATATCCCCTCGCAGATTCTACAAAAAGAGTGTTTCAAAACTGCTCTGTAAAAAGAAAGGTTCAACTCTGTTAGTTGAGTACACACATCACAAACAAGTTTCACAGAATGCTTCTTTCTAGCTTGTAGGGGAAGATATTCCCTTTATCACCATGGGCCTCAAACCGTCCGAAACGTCTACTTCCATATACTACAAAAAGAGCGTTTCAAACCTGCTCTATGAAAGGCAATGTTCAACTCTGTGACTTGAATGCAGACATCACAGAGCAGTTTCTGACAATGCTTCTGTCTAGATTTTATAGGAAGATATTCCCGTTTCCAACAAAATCTTCACAGCTATCCAAATATCCACTTGCAGATTCTACAAAAAGCGTGTATCAAAACTGCTCTGTCAAAAGGAAGGTTCTTCTCTGTTAGGTGAGTGCATACGTCATAAAGGAGTTTCTGAGAATGTTTCTGTCTAGTGGTTATTCGAAGATATTTGCTTTTTCACCGTAGGCCTCAGAGTGCTCCAAATATCCACTTGCACATACTACAAAAAGAGTGCCTCAAAGCTGCTCTCTGAAACGGAATGTTCAACTCTATGAGTTGAATGCAAACATCACAAAGACGTTTCTGAGAATGCTTCTGTCTAGATTAGATATGAAGATATTCCCGTTTCCAACGAAATCTTCAAATCTATCCAAATGTCCACTTGCAGATTCAACAAAAAGTGTTTTTCCGAACTGCTCTATCAAAAGAAAGATCCGCCTCTGTTAGCTGAGTTCACACATCACAAACAAGTTTATGAGAATGCTTCTGTCTAGTTTTTATTTGAAGATATTTCCTTTCTCACCATAGACCTGAAAGCTGTCCTAATGTTCACTTCCAGTTACTACAGAAAGAGTGTTTCAAAACTGCTGTACGAAAGGAAATGTTCAACTCTGTGACTTGAATGCACACATCACAAAGAAGTTTCTGAGGATGCTGCTGTCTACTTTTTATACTTAATCCCGTTTCCAACGAAATACTCCAAGCTCTCCAAATATCCACTTGCAGATTCCACAGAAAGACTGTTTCAAAACTGCTCTGTCAATAGAAAGGTTCAACTCTGTTAGCTGCGTGCATATATCCCAAAGAAGATTCTGAGATTGCTCTGTCTAGTTTTTATGGGAAGATATTTCCCTTTTCACCGTAGGTGTCAAGGCGCTCCAAATGTCCACTTCCAGATACTACAAAAAGAGTGTTTCAAACCTACTCTGTGAAAGGGAATATTCAACTCTGTGACTTGAATGCAGATATCACAAAGAAGTTTCTGAGAATGCTTTCGGTCGAGATTTTATATGAAGATATTCCCGTTTCCAACGAAATCCTGAAATCTATCCAAATATCCCCTCGCAGATTCTACAAAAAGAGTGTTTCAAAACTGCTCTGTAAAAAGAAAGGTTCAACTCTGTTAGTTGAGTACACACATCACAAACAAGTTTCACAGAATGCTTCTTTCTAGCTTGTAGGGGAAGATATTCCCTTTATCACCATGGGCCTCCAACCGTCCGAAACATCCACTTCCATATACTACAAAAAGAGCGCTTCAAACCTGCTCTATGAAAGGCAATGTTCAACTCTGTGACTTGAATGCAGACATCACAGAGCAGTTTCTGAGAATGCTTCTGTCTAGATTTTATAGGAAGATATTCCCGTTTCCAACGAAATCTTCACAGCTATCCAAATATCCACTTGCAGATTCTACAAAAAGAGTGTATCAAAACTGCTCTGTCAAAAGGAAGGTTCTTTTCTGTTAGGTGAGTGCATACGTCATAAAGGAAGTTTCTGAGAATGTTTCTGTCTAGTGGTTATGGGAAGATATTTGCTTTTTCCCCGTAGGCCTCAGGGCGCTCCAAATGTCCACTTGCACATGCTACAAAAAGAGTGCTTCAAAGCTGGTCTCTGAAAGGGAATGTTCAACTCTATGAGTTAAATGCAAACATCACAAAGACGTTTCTGAGAATGCTTCTGTCTAGATTTGAAATGAAGTTATTCCCGTTTCCAACGAAATCTTCAAATCTATCCAAATGTCCACTTGCAGATTCAACAAAAAGTGTTTTTCAGAACTGCTCTATCAAAAGAAAGATCCACCTCGGTTAGCTGAGTTCACACATCACAAAGAAGTTTATGAGAATGCTTCTGTCTAGTTTTTATTTGAAGATATTTCCTTTCTCAGCATAGACCTGAAAGCTGTCCTAATGTTCACTTCCAGATACTACAGAAAGAGTGTTTCAAAACTGCTGTACGAAAGGGAATGTTCAACTCTGTGACTTGAATGCACACATCACAAAGAAGTTTCTGAGTATGCTGCTGTCTACTTTTTATACATAATCCCGTTTCCAACGAAATCCTCCAAGCTATCCAAATATCCACTTGCAGATTCCACAGAAAGACTGTTTCAAAACTGCTCTGTCAATAGAAAGGTTCAACTCTGTTAGCTGCGTGCATATATCCCAAAGAAGATTCTGAGATTGCTTCTGTCTAGTTTTTATGGGAAGATATTTCCCTTTTCACAGTAGGTGTCAAGGCACTCCAAATGTCCACTTCCAGATACTACAAAAAGAGTGTTTCAAACCTACTCTGTGAAAGGGAATATTCAACTCTGTGACTTGAATGCACATATCACAAAGAAGTTTCTGAGAATGCTTCTGTCGAGATTTTATATGAAGATATTCCCGTTTCCAACGAAATCCTGAAATCTATCCAAATATCCCCTCGCAGATTCTACAAAAAGAGTGTTTCAAAACTGCTCTGTAAAAAGAAAGGTTCAACTCTGTTAGTTGAGTACAAACATCACAAACAAGTTTCACAGAATGCTTCTTTCTAGCTTGTAGGGGAAGATATTCCCTTTATCACCATGGTCCTCAAACCGTTCAAAACGTCCTCTTCCATATACTACAAAAAGAGCGTTTCAAACCTGCTCTATGAAAGGCAATGTTCAACTCTGTGACTTGAATGCAGACATCACAGAGCAGTTTCTGAGAATGCTTCTGTCCAGACTTTATAGGAAGATATTCCCGTTTCCAACGAAATCTTCACAGCTATCCAAATATCCACTTGCAGATACTAGAAAAAGAATGTATCAAAAATGCTCTGTCAAAAGGAAAGTTCTTCTCTGCTAGTTGAGTACATGCGTCATAAAGAAGTTTCTGAGAATGTTCCTGTCTAGTGGTTATGGGAAGATATTTGCTTTTTCCCCGTAGGCCTCAAAGCGCTCCAAATGTCCACTTGCACATACTACAAAAAGAGTGCTTCAAAGCTGCTCTCTGAAAGGGAATGTTCAACTCTATGAGTTGAATGCTAACATCACAACGACGTTTCTGAGAATGCTTCTGTCTAGATTTGATATGAAGATATTCCCGTTTCCAACGAAATCTTCAAATCTATCCAAATGTCCACTTGCAGATTCAACAAAAAGTGTTTTTCAGAACTGCTCTATCAAAAGAAAGTCCCACCTCTGTTAGCTGAGTTCACACATCACAAACAAGTTTATGAGAATGCTTCTGTCTAGTTTTTATTTGAAGATATTTCCTTTCTCACCATAGAGCTGAAAGCTGTCCTAATGTTCACTTCCAGATACTACAGAAAGAGTGTTTCAAAACTGCTGTACGAAAGGGAATGTTCTACTCTGTGACTTGAATGCACACATCACAAAGAAGTTTCGGAGGATGCTGCTGTCTACTTTTTATACGTAATCCCGTTTCCAACGAAATCCTCCAAGCTATCCAAATATCCACTTGCAGATTCCACAGAAAGACTGTTTCAAAACTGCTCTGTCAATAGAAAGATTCAACTCCGTTAGCTGCGTGCATATATCCCAAAGAAGATTCTGAGATTGCTTCTGTCTAGGTTTTATGGGAAGATATTTCCCTTTTCACCGTAGGCGTCAATGCGCTCCAAATGTCCACTTCCAGATACTACAAAAAGAGTGTTTCAAACCTACTCTGTGAAAGGGAATATTCAACTCTGTGACTTGAATGCACATATCACAAAGAAGTTTCTGAGAATGCTTCTGTCGAGATTTTATATGAAGATATTCACGTTTCCAACGAAATCCTGAAATCTATCCAAATATCCCCTCACAGATTCTACAAAAAGAGTGTTTCAAAACTGCTCTGTAAAAAGAAAGGTTCAACTCTGTTAGTTGACTACACACATCACAAACAAGTTTCACAGAATGCTTCTTTCTAGCTTTTAGGGGAAGATATTCCCTTTATCACCATGGGCCTCAAACCGTCCGAAACGTCCACTTCCATATACTACAAAAAGAGCGTTTCAAACCTGCTCTAGGAAAGGCAATGTTCAACTCTGTGACTTGAATGCAGACATCACAGAGCAGTTTCTGAGAATGCTTCTCTCCAGACTTTATAGGAAGATATTCCCGTTTAAAACGAAATCTTCACAGCTATCCAAATATCCACTTGCAGATACTACAAAAAGAGTGTATCAAAAGTGCTCTGTCAAAAGGAAAGTTCTTCTCTGCTAGTTGAGTACATACGTCATAAAGAAGTTTCTGAGAATGTTTCTGTCTAGTGGTTATGGGAAGATATTTGCTTTTTCCCCGTAGGCCTCAGAGCGCTCCAAATATCCAGTTGCACATACTACAAAAAGAGTGCTTCAAAGCTGCTCTCTGAAACGGAATGTTCAACTCTATGAGTTGAATGCAAACATCACAAAGACGTTTCTGAGAATGCTTCTGTCTAGATTTGATATGAAGATATTCCCGTTTCCAACGAAATCTTCAAATCTATCCAAATGTCCACTTGCAGATTCAACAAAAAGTGTTTTTCAGAACTGCTCTATCAAAAGAAAGATCCACCTCTCTTAGCTGAGTTCGCACATCACAAACAAGTTTATGAGAATGCTTCTGTCTAGTTTTTATTTGAAGATATTTCGTTTCTCACCATAGACCTGAAAGCTGTACTAATGTTCACTTCCAGATACTACAGAAAGAGTGTTTCAAAACTGCTGTACGAAAGGGAATGTTCAACTCTGTGACTTGAATGCACACATCACAAAGAAGTTTCTGAGGATGCTGCTGTCTACTTTTTATACGTAATCCCGTTTCCAACGAAATCCTCCAAGCTATCCAAATATCCACTTGCAGATTCCACAGAAAGACTGTTTCAAAACTGCTCTGTCTATAGAAAGGTTCAACTCTGTTAGCTGCGTGCATATATCCCAAAGACGATTCTGAGATTGCTCTGTCTAGTTTTTATGAGAAGATATTTCCCTTTTCACCGTAGGCGTCAAGGCGCTCCAAATGTCCACTTCCAGATACTACAAAAAGAGTGTTTCAAACCTACTCTGTGAAAGGGAATATTCAACTCTGTGACTTGAATGCAGATATCACAAAGAAGTTTCTGAGAATGCTTTCTGTCGAGATTTTATATGAAGATATTCCCGTTTCCAACGAAATCCTGAAATCTATCCAAACTTCCCCTCGCAGATTCTACAAAAAGAGTGTTTCAAAACTGCTCTGTAAAAAGAAAGGTTCAACTCTGTTAGTTGAGTACACACATCACAAACAAGTTTCACAGAATGCTTCTTTCTAGCTCGTAGGGGAAGATATTCCCTTTATCACCATGGGCCTCAAACCGTCCGAAACGTCCACTTCCATATACTACAAAAAGAGCGTTTCAAACCTGCTCCATGAAAGGCAATGTTCAACTCTGTGACTTGAATGCAGACATCATAGAGCAGTTTCTGAGAATGCTTCTGTCTAGATTTTATAGGAAGATATTCCCGTTTCCAAGGAAATCTTCGCAGCTATCCAAATAACCACTTGCAGATTCTACAAAAAGAGTGTATCAAAACTGCACTGTCAAAAGGAAGGTTCTTCTCTGTTAGGTGAGTGCATACGTCATAAAGGAGTTTCTGAGAATGTTTCTGTCTAGTGGTTATGGGAAGATATTTGCTTTTTCACCGTAGGCCTCAGAGCGCTCCAAATATCCACTTGCACATACTACAAAAAGAGTACCTCAAAGCTGCTCTCTGAAACGGAATGTTCAACTCTATGAGTTGAATGCAAACATCACAACGACGTTTCTGAGAATGCTTCTGTCTAGATTTGATATGAAGATATTCCCGTTTCCAACGAAATCTTCAAATCTATCCAAATGTCCACTTGCATAATCAACAAAAAGTGTTTTTCAGAACTGCTCTATCAAAAGAAAGATCCACCTCTGTTAGCTGAGTTCACACATCACAAACAAGTTTATGAGAATGCTTGTGTCTAGTTTTTATTTGAAGATATTTCCTTTCTCACCATAGACCTGAAAGCTGTCCTAATGTTCACTTCCAGATACTACAGAAAGAGTGTTTCAAAACTGCTGTATGAAAGGAAATGTTCAACCCTGTGACTTGAATGCACACATCACAAAGAAGTTTCTGAGGATGCTGCTGTCTACTTTTTATATGTAATCCCGTTTCCAATGAAATCCTCCAAGCTATCCAAATATCCACTTGCAGATTCCACAGAAAGACTGTTTCAAAACTGCTCTGTCAATAGAAAGGTACAACTCTGTTAGCTGCGTGCATATATCCCAAAGAAGATTCTGAGATTGCTTCTGTCTAGTTTTTATGGGAAGATATTTCCCTTTTCACCGCAGGCGTCAAGGTGCTCCAAATGTCCTCTTCCAGATACTACAAAAAGAGTGTTTCAATCCTACTCTGTGAAAGGGAATATTCAACTCTGTGACTTGAATGCAGATATCACAAAGAAGTTTCTGAGAATGCTTCTGTCGAGATTTTATATGAAGATATTCCCGTTTCCAAAGAAATCCTGAAATCTATCCAAATATCCCCTCGCAGATTCTACAAAAAGAGTGTTTCAAAACTGCTCTGTAAAAAGAAAGGTTCAACTCTGTTAGTTGAGTACACACATCACAAACAAGTTTCACAGAATGCTTCTTTCTAGCTTGTAGGGGAAGATATTCCCTTTATCACCATGGGCCTCCAACCGTCCGAAACATCCACTTCCGTATACTACAAAAAGAGCGTTTCAAACCTGCTCTATGAAAGGCAATGTTCAACTCTGTGACTTGAATACAGACATCACAGAGCAGTTTCTGAGAATGCTTCTGTCTAGATTTTATAGGAAGGTATTCCCGTTTCCAACGAAATCTTCACAGCTATCCAAATATCCACTTGCAGATTCTACAAAAAGAGTGTATCAAAACTGCTCTGTCAAAAGGAAGGTTCTTCTCTGTTAGTTGAGTACATACGTCATAAAGTAGTTTCTGAGAATGTTTCTGTCTAGTGGTTATGGGAAGATATTTGCTTTTTCACCTTAGGCCTCAGAGCGCTCCAAATATCCCCTTGCACATACTACAAAAAGAGTGCTTCAAAGCTGCTCTCTGAAAGAGAATGTTCAACTCTATGAGTTGAATGCAAACATCAAAAAGACGTTTCTGGGAATGCTTCTGTCTATATTTGATATGAAGATATTCCCGTTTCCAACGAAATCTTCAAATCTATCCAAATGTCCACTTGCAGATTCAACAAAAAGTGTTTTTCAGAACTGCTCTATCAAAAGAAAGATCCACCTCTGTTAGCTGAGTTCACACATCACAAACAAGTTTATGAGAATGCTTCTGTCTAGTTTTTATTTGAAGATATTTCCTTTCTCACCATAGACCTGAAACCTGTCCTAATGTTCACTTCCAGATACTACAGAAAGAGTGTTTCAAAACTGCTGTACGAAAGGGAATGTTCAACTCTGTGACTTGAATGCACACATCACAAGGAAGTTTCTGAGGATGCTGCTGTCTACTTTTTATACGTAATCCCGTTTCCAACGAAATCCTCCAAGCTATCTAAATATCCACTTGCAGATTCCACAGAAAGACTGTTTCAAAACTGCTCTGTCAATAGAAAGGTTCAACTCTGTTAGCTGCGTGCATATATCCCAAAGAAGATTCTGAGATTGCTTCTGTCTAGTTTTTATGGGAAGATATTTCCCTTTTCACCGTAGGCGTCAAGGCGCTCCAAATGTCCACTTCCAGATACTACAAAAAGAGTGTTTCAAACCTACTCCTGTGAAAGGGAATATTCAACTCTGTGACTTGAATGCACATATCACAAAGAAGTTTCTGAGAATGCTTCTGTCGAGATTTTATATGAAGATATTCCCGTTTCCAACGAAATCCTGAAATCTATCTAAATATCCCCTCGCAGATTCTACAAAAAGAGTGTTCCAAAACTGCTCTGTAAAAAGAAAGGTTCAACTCTGTTAGTTGAGTACACACATCACAAACAAGTTTCACAGAATGCTTCTTTCTAGCTTGTAGGGGAAGATATTCCCTTTATCACCATGGGCCTCAAACCGTCTGAAACGTCCACTTCCATATACTACAAAAAGAGCGATTCAAACCTGCTCTATGAAAGGCAATGTTCAACTCTGTGACTTGAATGCAGACATCACAGAGCAGTTTCTGAGAATGCTTTTGTTTAGATTTTATAGAAAGATATTCCCTTTTCCAACGAATTCTTCACAGATATCCAAATATCTACTTGCAGATTCTACAAGAAGAGTGTATCAAAACTGCTCTGTCAAAAGGAAGGTTCTTCTCTGTTAGTTGAGTACATACGTCATAAAGAAGTTTCTGAGAAGGTTTCTGTCTAGTGGTTATGGGAAGATATTTGCTTTTTCACCGTAGGCCTCAAAGTGCTCCTAATGTCCACTTGCACATACTACAAAATGAGTGCTTCAAAGCTGCTCTCTGAAAGGGAATGTTCAACTCTATGAGTTGAATGCAAACATCACAAAGACGTTTCTGAGAATGCTTCTGTCTAGATTTGATATGAAGATATTCCCGTTTCCAACGAAATCTTCAAATCTATCCAAATGTCCACTTGCAGATTCAACAAAACGTGTTTTTCAGAACTGCTCTATCAAAAGAAAGATCCACCTCTGTTAGCTGAGTTCACACATCACAAACAAGTTTATGAAAATGCTTCTGTATAGTTTTTATTTGAAGATATTTCCTTTCTCACCATAGACCTGAAAGCTGTCCTAATGTTCACTTCCAGATACTACAGAAAGAGTGTTTCAAAACTGCTGTACGAAAGGAAATGTTCAACTCTGTGACTTGAATGCACACATCACAAAGAAGTTTCTGAGGATGCTGCTGTCTACTTTTTATACGTAATCCCTTTTCCAACGAAATCCTCCAAGCTATCCAAATATCCACTTGCAGATTCCACAGAAAGACTGTTTCAAAACTGCTCTGTCAATAGAAAGGTTCAACTCTGTTAGCTGCGTGCATATATCCCAAAGAAGATTCTGAGATTGCTTCTGTCTAGTTTTTTAGGGAAGATATTTCCCTTTTCTCCGTAGCAGTCAAGGCGCTCCAAATGTCCACTTCCAGATACTACAAAAAGAGTGTTTCAAACCTACTCTGTGAAAGGGAATATTCAACTCTGTGACTTGAATGCAGATATCACAAAGAAGTTTCTGAGAATGCTTCTGTCGAGATTTTATATAAAGATATTCCCGTTTCCAACGAAATCCTGAAATCTATCCAAATATCCCCTCGCAGATTCTACAAAAAGAGTGTTTCAAAACTGCTCTGTAAAAAGAAAGGTTCAACTACTGTTAGTTGAGTACACACATCACAAACAAGTTTCACAGAATGCTTCTTTCTAGCTTGTAGGGGAAGATATTTCCTTTATCACCATGGTCCTCAAACCGTCCGAATCGTCCACTTCCATATACTAAAAAAAGAGTGTTTGAAACCTGCTCTATGAAAGGCAATGTTCAACTCTGTGACTTGAATGCAGACATCACAGAGCAGTTTCTGAGAATGCTTCTGTCTAGATTTTATAGGAAGATATTCCCGTTTCCAACGAAATCTTCACAGCTATCCAAATATCCACTTGCAGATTCTACAAAAAGAGTGTATCAAAACTGCTCTGTCAAAAGGAAGGTTCTTCTCTGTTAGGTGAGTGCATACGTCATTAAGGAGTTTCTGAGAATGTTTCTGTCTAGTGGTTATGGGAAGATATTTGCTTTTTCACCGTAGGCCTCAGAGCGCTCCAAATATCCACTTGCACATACTACAAAAAGAGTGCTTCAAACCTCCTCTCTGAAACGGAATGTTCAACTCTATGAGTTGAATGCAAACATGACAAAGACGTTTCTGAGAATGCTTCTGTCTAGATTTGATATGAAGATATTCCCGTTTCCAACGAAATCTTCAAATCTATCCAAATGTCCACTTGCAGATTCAACAAAAAGTGTTTTTCAGAACTGCTCTATCAAAAGAAAGATCCACCTCTGTTAGCTGAGTTCACACATCACAAACAAGCTTATGAGAATGCTTCTGTCTAGTTTTTATTTGAAGATATTTCCTTTCTCACCATAGACCGGAAAGCTGTCCTAATGTTCACTTCCAGATACTACAGAAAGAGTGTTTCAAAACTGCTGTACGAAAGGGAATGTTCAACTCTGTGACTTGAATGCACACATCCCAAAGAAGTTTCTGAGGATGCTGCTGTCTACTTTTTATACGTAATCCCGTTTCCAACGAAATCCTCCAAGCTATCCAAATATCCAATTGGAGATTCCACAGAAAGACTGTTTCAAAACTGCTCTGTCAATAGAAAGGTTCAACTCTGTTAACTGCGTGCATATATCCCAAAGAAGATTCTGAGATTGCTTCTGTCTAGTTTTTATGGGAAGATATTTCCGTTTTCACCGTAGGCGTCAAGGCGCTCCAAATGTCCACTTCCAGATACTACAAAAGAGTGTTCCAATCCTACTCTGTGAAAGGGAATATTCAACTCTGTGACTTGAATGCAGATATCACAAAGAAGTTTCTGAGAATGCTTCTGTCGAGATTTTATATGAAGATATTCCCGTTTCCAACGAAATCCTGAAATCTATCCAAATATCCCCTCGCAGATTCTACAAAACGAGTGTTTCAAAACTGCTCTGTAAAAAGAAAGGTTCAACTCTGTTAGTTGAGTACACACATCACAAACAAGTTTCACAGAATGCTTCTTTCTAGCTTGTAGGGGAAGATATTCCCTTTATCACCATGGGCCTCAAACCGTCCGAAACGTCCACTTCCATATAGTACAAAAAGAGCGTTTCAAACCTGCTCCATGAAAGGCAATGTTCAACTCTGTGACTTGAATGCAGACATCACAGAGCAGCTTCTGAGAATGCTTCTGTCTAGATTTTATAGGAAGATATTCCCGTTTCCAACGAAATCTTCACAGCTATCCTAATATCCACTTGCAGATTCTACAAAAAGAGTGTATCAAAACTGCTCTGTCAAAAGGAAGGTTCTTTTCTGTTAGGTGAGTGCATACGTCATAAAGGAGTTTCTGAGAATGTTTCTGTCTTGTGGTTATGGGAAGATATTTGCTTTTTCACCGTAGGCCTCAGAGCGCTCCAAATATCCACTTGCACATACTACAAAAAGAGTGCCTCAAAGCTGCTCTCTGAAACGGAATGTTCAACTCTATGAGTTGAATGCAAACATCGCAAAGACGTTTTCTGAGAATGCTTCTGTCTAGATTTGATATGAAGATATTCCCGTTTCCAACGAAATCTTCAAATCTATCCAAATGTCCACTTGCAGATTCAACAAAAAGTGTTTTTCAGAACTGCTCTATCAAAAGAAAGATCCACCTCTGTTAGCTGAGTTCCCACATCACAAACAGGTTTATGAGAATGCTTCTGTCTAGTTTTTATTTGAAGATATTTCCTTTCTCACCATAGACCTGAAAGCTGTCGTAATGTTCACTTCCAGATACTACAGAAAGAGTGTTTCAAAACTGCTGTACGAAAGGGAATGTTCAACTCCTGTGACTTGAATGCACACATCACAAAGAAGTTTCTGAGGATGCTGCTGTCCACTTTTTATACGTAATCCCGTTTCCAACGAAATCCTCCAAGCTATCCAAATATCCACTTGCAGATTCCACAGAAAGACTGTTTCAAAACTGCTCTGTCAATAGAAAGGTTCAACTCTGTTAGCTGCGTGCATATATCCCAAAGAAGATTCTGAGATTACTTCTGTCTAGTTTTTATGGGAAGATATTTCCCTTTTCACCGTAGGCGTCAAGGCGCTCCAAATGTCCACTTCCAGATACCACAAAGAGTGTTTCAAACCTACTCTGTGAAAGGGAATATTCAACTCTGTGACTTGAATGCAGATATCACAAAGAAGTTTCTGAGAATGCTTCTGTCGAGATTTTATATGAAGATATTCCCGTTTCCAACGAAATCCTAAAATCTATCCAAATATCCCCTCGCAGATTCTACAAAAAGAGTGTTTCAAAACTGCTCTGTAAAAAGAAAGGTTCAACTCTGTTAGTTGAGTACACACATCACAAACAAGTTTCACAGAATGCTTCTTTCTAGCTTGTAGGGGAAGATATTCCCTTTATCACCATGGGCCTCAAACCGTCCGAAACGACTACTTCCATATACTACAAAAAGAGCGTTTCAAACCTGCTCTATGAAAGGCAATGTTCAACTCTGTGACTTGAATGCAGACATCACAGAGCAGTTTCTGAGAATGCTTCTGTCTAGATTTTATAGGAAGATATTCCCGTTTCCAACGAAATCTTCACAGCTATCCAAATATCCACTTGCAGATTCCACAAAAAGAGTGTATCAAAACTGCTCTGTCAAAAGGAAGGTTCTTCTCTGTTAGTTGAGTACATACGTCATAAAGGAGTTTCTGAGAATGTTTCTGTCTAGTGGTTATGGGAAGATATTTGCTTTTACACCGTAGGCCTCAGAGCGCTCCAAATATCCACTTGCACATACTACAAAAAGAGTGCTTCAAAGCTGGTCTCTGAAACGGAATGTTCAACTCTATGAGTTGAATGCAAACATCACAAAGACGTTTCTGAGAATGCTTTCTGTCTAGATTTGATATGAAGGATATTCCCGTTTCCAACGAAATCTTCAAATCTATCCAAATGTCCACTTGCAGATTCAACAAAAAGTGTTTTTCAGAACTGCTCTATCAAAAGAAAGATCCACGTGTGTTAGCTGAGTTCACACATTACGAACAAGTTTATGAGAATGCTTCTGTCTAGTTTTTATTTGAAGATATATCCTTTCTCACTATAGACCTGAAAGCTGTCCTAATGTTCACTTCCAGATACTACAGAAAGAGTGTTTCAAAACTGCTGTACGAAAGGGAATTTTCAACTCTGTGACTTGAATGCACACATCACAAAGTAGTTTCTGAGGATGCTGCTGTCTACTTTTTATACGTAATCCCGTTTCCAACGAAATCCTCCAAGCTATCAAATATCCACTTGCAGATTCCACAGAAAGACTGTTTCAAAACTGCTCTGTCAATAGAAAGGTTCAACTCTGTTAGCTGCGTGCATATATCCCAAAGAAGATTCTGAGATTGCTTCTGTCTAGTTTTTATGGGAAGATATTTCCCTTTTCACCGTAGGCGTCAATGCACTCCAAATGTCCACTTCTAGATACGACAAAAAGAGTGTTTCAAACCTACTCTGTGAAAGGGAATATTCAACTCTGTGACTTGAATGCACATATCACAAAGAAGTTTCTGAGAATGCTTCTGTCGAGATTTTATATGAAGATATTCCCGTTTCCAACGAAATCCTGAAATCTATCCAAATATCCCCTCGCAGATTCTACAAAAAGAGTGTTTCAAAACTGCTCTGTAAAAAGAAAGGATCAACTCTGTTAGTTGAGTACACACATCACAAACAAGTTTCACAGAATGCTTCTTTCTAGCTTGTAGGGGAAGATATTCCCTTTATCACCATGGGCCTCCAACCGTCCGAAACATCCACTTCCATATACTACAAAAAAGCGTTTCAAACCTACTCTATGAAAGGCAATGTTCAACTCTGTGACTTGAATGCAGACATCACAGAGCAGTTTCTGAGAATGCTTCTGTCGAGATTTTATATGAAGATATTCCCGTTTCCAACGAAATCCTGAAATCTCTCCAAATATCCCCTCGCAGATTCTACAAAAAGAGTGTATCAAAACTGCTCTGTCAAAAGGTAGGTTCTTCTCTGTTAGGTGAGTGCATACGTCATAAAGGAGTTTCTGAGAATGTTTCTGTCTAGTGGTTATGGGAAGATATTTGCTTTTTCACCGTAGGCCTCAGGGCGCTCCAAATGTCCACTTGCACATGCTACAAAAAGAGTGCTTCAAAGCTGCTCTCTGAAAGGGAATGTTCAACTCTATGAGTTGAATGCAAACATCACAAAGACGTTTCTGAGAATGCTTCTGTCTAGATTTGATATGAAGATATTCCCGTTTCCAACGAAATCTTCAAATCTATCCAAATGTCCACTTGCAGATTCAACAAAAAGTGTTTTCCCGAACTGCTCTATCAAAAGAAAGATCCGCCTCTGTTAGCTGAGTCCACACATCACAAACAAGTTTATGAGAATGCTTCTGTCTAGTTTTTATTTGAAGATATTTCCTTTCTCACCATAGACCTGAAAGCTGTCCTAATGTTCACTTCCAGATACTACAGAAAGAGTGTTTCAAAACTGCTGTACGAAAGGGAATGTTCAACCCTGTGACTTGAATGCACACATCACAAAGAAGTTTCTGAGGATTCTGCTGTCTACTTTTTATACGTAATCCCGTTTCCAATGAAATCCTCCAATCTATCCAAATATCCACTTGCAGATTCCACAGAAAGACTGTTTCAAATCTGCTCTGTCAACAGAAAGATTCAACTCTGTTAGCTGCGTGCATATATCCCAAAGAAGATTCTGAGATTGCTTCTGTCTAGTTTTTATGGGAAGATATTTCCCTTTTCACCGTAGGTGTCAAGGCGCTCCAAATGTCCACTTCCAGATACTACAAAAAGAGTGTTTCAAACCTACTCTGTGAAAGGGAATATTCAACTCTGTGACTTGAATGCACATATCACAAAGAAGTTTTCTGAGAATGCTTCTGTCGAGATTTTATATGAAGATATTCCCGTTTCCAACGAAATCCTGAAATCTATCCAAATATCCCCTCGCAGATTCTACAAAAAGAGTGTTTCAAAACTGCTCTGTAAAAAGAAAGGTTCAAATCTGTTAGTTGAGTACACACATCACAAACAAGTTTCACACAATGCTTCTTTCTAGACTTGTAGGGGAAGATATTCCCTTTATCACCATGGGCCTCCAACCGTCCGAAACATCCACTTCCATATACTACAAAAAGAGCGTTTCAAACCTGCTCTATGAAAGGCAATGTTCAACTCTGTGACTTGAATGCAGACATCACAGAGCAGTTTCTGAGAATGCTTCTGTCTAGATTTTATAGGAAGATATTCCCGTTTCCAATGAAATCTTCACAGCTATCCAAATATCCACTTGCAGATTCTACAAAAAGAGTGTATCAAAACTGCTCTGTCAAAAGGAAGGTTCTTTTCTGTTAGGTGAGTGCATACGTCATAAAGGAGTTTCTGAGAATGTTTCTGTCTAGTGGTTATGGGAAGATATTTGCTTTTTCACCTTAGGCCTCAGAGAGCTCCAAATATACCCTTGCACATACTACAAAAAGAGAGCTTCAAAGCTGCTCTCTGAAAGGGAATGTTCAACTCTATGAGTTGAATGCAAACATCACAAAGACGTTTCTGAGAATGCTTCTGTCTAGATTTGATATGAAGATATTCCCGTTTCCAACGAAATCTTCATATCTATCCAAATGTCCACTTGCAGATTCAACAAAAAGTGTTTTTCAAAACTGCTCTATCAAAAGAAAGATCCACCTCTGTTAGCTGAGTTCACACATCACAAACAAGTTGATGAGAATGCTTCTGTCTAGTTTTTATTTGAAGATATTTCCTTTCTCACCATAGAGCTGAAAGCTGTCCTAATGTTCACTTCCAGATACTACAGAAAGAGTGTTTCAAAACTGCTGTATGAAAGGGAATGTTCAACTCTGTGACTTGAATGCACACATCACAAAGAAGTTTCTGAGGATGCTGCTGTCTACTTTTTATACGTAATCCCGTTTCCAACGAAATCCTCCAATCTATCAAAATATCCACTTGCAGATTCCACAGAAAGACTGTTTCAAAACTGCTCTGTCAATAGAAAGGTTCAACTCTGTTAGCTGCGTGCATATATCCCAAAGAAGATTCTGAGATTGCTTCTGTCTAGTTTTTATGGGAAAATATTTCCCTTTTCACCGTAGGTGTCAAGGCGCTCCAAATGTCCACTTCCAGATACTACAAAAAGAGTGTTTCAAACCTACTCTGTGAAAGGGAATATTCAACTCTGTGACTTGAATGCAGATATCACAAAGAAGTTTCTGAGAATGCTTCTGTCGAGATTTTCTATGAAGATATTCCCGTTTCCAACGAAATCCTGAAATGTATCCAAATATCCCCTCGCAGATTCTACAGAAAGAGTGTTTCAAAACTGCTCTGTAAAAAGAAAGGTTCAACTCTGTTAGTTGAGTACACACATCACAAACAAGTTTCACAGAATGCTTCTTTCTAGCTTGTAGGGGAAGATATTCCCTTTATCACCATGGGCCTCAAACCGTCCGAAACGTCCACTTCCATATACTACAAAAAGAGCGTTTCAAACCTACTCTATGAAAGGCAATGTTCAACTCTGTGACTTGAATGCAGACATCACAGAGCAGTTTCTGAGAATGCTTCCGTCTAGATTTTATAGGAAGATATTCCCGTTTCCAACGAAATCTTCACAGCTATCCAAATATCCACTTGCAGATTCTACAAAAAGAGTGTATCAAAACTGCTCTGTCAAAAGGAAGGTTCTTCTCTGTTAGTTGAGTACATACGTCATAAAGGAGTTTCTGAGAATGTTTCTGTCTAGTGGTTATGGGAAGATATTTGCTTTTTCACCGTAGGCCTCAGAGCGCTCCAAATATCCCCTTGCACATACTACAAAAAGAGTGCTTCAAAGCTGCTCTCTGAAACGGAATGTTCAACTCTATGAGTTGAATTCAAACATCACAAAGACGTTTCTGAGAATGCTTCTGTCTAGATTTGATATGAAGATATTCCCGTTACCAACGAAATCTTCAAATCTATCCAAATGTCCACTTGCAGATTCAACAAAAAGTGTTTTTCAGAACTGCTCTATCAAAAGAAAGATCCACCTCTGTTAGATGAGTTCACACATCACAAACAAGTTTATGAGAATGCTTCTGTCTAGTTTTTATTTGAAGATATTTCCTTTCTCACCATAGACCTGAAAGCTGTCCTAATGTTTACTTCCAGTTACTACAGAAAGAGTGTTTCAAAACTGCTGTACGAAAGGGAATGTTCAACTCTGTGACTTGAATGCACACATCACAAAGAAGTTTCTGAGGATGCTGCTGTCTACTTTTTATACGTAATCCCGTTTCCAACGAAATCCTCCAAGCTATCCAAATATCCACTTGCAGATTCCACAGAAAGACTGTTTCAAAACTGCTCTGTCAATAGAAAGGTTCAACTCCGTTAGCTGCGTGCATATATCCCAAAGAAGATTCTGAGATTGCTTCTGTCTAGTTTGTATGGGAAGATATTTCCCTTTTCACCGTAGGCGTCAAGGCGCTCCAAATGTCCACTTCCAGATACTACAAAAAGAGTGTTTCAAACCTACTCTGTGAAAGGGAATATTCAACTCTGTGACTTGAATGCACATATCACAAAGAAGTTTCTGAGAATGCTTCTGTCGAGATTTTATATGAAGATATTCCCGTTTCCAACGAAATCCTGAAATGTATCCAAATATCCCCTCGCAGATTCTACAAAAAGAGTGTTTCAAAACTGCTCTGTAAAAAGAAAGGTTCAACTCTGTTAGTTGAGTACACACATCACAAACAATTTTCACACAATGCTTCTTTCTAGCTTGTAGGGGAAGATATTCCCTTTATCACCATGGGCCTCAAACCGTCCGAAACGTCCACTTCCATATACTAAAAAAAGAGCGTTTCAAACCTGCTCTAGGAAAGGCAATGTTCAACTCTGTGACTTGAATGCAGACATCACATAGCAGTTTCTGAGAATGCTTCTGTCTAGATTTTATAAGAAGATATTCCCGTTTCCAACGAAATCTTCACAGCTATCCAAATATCCACTTGCAGATTCTACAAAAAGAGTGTATCAAAACTGCTCTGTCAAAAGGAAGGTTCTTCTCTCTTAGGTGAGTGCATACGTCATAAAGGAGTTTCTGAGAATGTTTCTGTCTAGTGGTTATGGGAAGATATTTGCTTTTTCACCGTAGGCCTCAGAGCGCTCCAAATATCCACTTGCACATACTACAAAAAGAGTGCCTCAAAGCTGCTCTCAGAAACGGAATGTTCAACTCTATGAGTTGAATGCAAACATCGCAAAGACGTTTCTGAGAATGCTTCTGTCTAGATTTGATATGACGATATTCCCGTTTCCAACGAAATCTTCAAATCTATCCAAATGTCCACTTGCAGATTCAACAAAAAGTGTTTTTCAGAACTGCTCTATCAAAAGAAAGATCCACCTCTGTTAGCTGAGTTCACACATCACAAACAAGTTTATGAGAATGCTTCTGTCTAGTTTTTATTTGAAGATATTTCCTTTCTCATCATAGAGCTGAAAGCTGTCCTAATGTTCACTTCCAGATACTACAGAAAGAGTGTTTCAAAACTGTTGTACGAAAGGGAATGTTCAACTCTGTGACTTGAATGCACACATCACAAAGAAGTTTCTGAGGATGCTGCTGTCTACTTTTTATACGTAATCCCGTTTCCAACGAAATCCTCCAGGCTATCCAAATATCCACTTGCAGATTCCACAGAAACACTGTTTGAAATCTGCTCTGTCAATAGAAAAGTTCAACTCTATTAGCTGCGTGCATATATCCCAAAGAAGATTCTGAGATTGCTTCTGTCTAGTTTTTATGGGAAGATATTTCCCTTTTCACCGTAGGCGTCAAGGCGCTCCAAATGTCCACTTCCAGATAGTACAAAAAGAGTGTTTCAAACCTACTCTGTGAAAGGGAATATTCAACTCTGTGACTTGAATGCACATATCACAAAGAAGTTTCTGAGAATGCTTCTGTCGAGATTTTGTATGAAGATATTCCCGTTTCCAACGAAATCCTGAAATCTATCCAAATTTCCCCTCGCAGATTCTACAAAAAGAGTGTTTCAAAACTGCTCTGTGAAAAGAAAGGTTCAACTCTGTTAGTTGAGTACACACATCACAAACAAGTTTCACAGAATGCTTCTTTCTAGCTTGTAGGGGAAGATATTCCCTTTATCACCATGGGCCTCAAACCGTCCGAAAAGTCCACTTCCATATACTACAAAAAGAGCGTTTCAAACCTGCTATATGAAAGGCAATGTTCAACTCTGTGACTTGAATGCAGACATCACAGAGCAGTTTCTGAGAATGCTTCTGTCTAGATTTCATAAGAAGATATTCCCGTTTCCAACGAAATCTTCACAGCTATCCAAATATCCACTTGGAGATTCTACAAAAAGAGTGTATCAAAACTGCTCTGTCAAAAGGAAGGTTCTTCTCTGTTAGGTGAGTGCATACGTCATAAAGGAGTTTCTGAGAATGTATCTGTCTAGTGGTTATGGGAAGATATTTGCTTTTTCACCGTAGGCCTCAGAGCGCTCCAAATACCCACTTGCACATACTACAAAAAGAGTGCCTCAAAGCTGCTCTCTGAAACGGAATGTTCAACTCTATGAGTTGAATGCAAACATCACAAAGACGTTTCTGAGAATGCTTCTGTCTAGATTTGATATGAAGATATTCCCGTTTCCAACGAAATCTTCAAATCTATCCAAATATCCACTTGCATATTCAACAAAAAGTGTTTTTCAGAACTGCTCTATCAAAAGAAAGATCCACCTCTGTTAGCTGAGTTCACACATCACAAAAAGGTTTATGAGAATGCTTCTGTCTAGTTTTTATTTGAAGATATTTCCTTTCTCACCATAGAGCTGAAAGCTGTCCTAATGTTCACTTCCAGATACTACAGAAAGAGTGTTTCAAAACTGCTGTACGAAAGGGAATGTTCAACTCTGTGACTTGAATGCACACATCACAAAGTAGTTTCGGAGGATGCTGCTGTCTACTTTTTATACGTAATCCCGTTTCCAACAAAATCCTCCAAGCTATCCAAATATCCACTTGCAGATTCCACAGAAAGACTGTTTCAAAACTGCTCTGTCAATAGAAAGGTTCAACTCTGTTAGCTGCGTGCATATATCCCAAAGAAGATTCTGAGATTGCTTCTGTCTAGTTTTTATGGGAAGATATTTCCCTTTTCACCGTAGGCATCAAGGCGCTCCAAATGTCCACTTCCAGATACTACAAAAAGAGTGTTTCAAACCTACTCTGTGAAAGGGAATATTCAACTCTGTGACTTGAATGCAGATATCACAAAGAAGTTTCTGAGAATGCTTCTGTCTAGATTTTATAGGAAGATATTCCCGTTTCCAATGAAATCTTCACAGCTATCCAAATATCCACTTGCAGATTCTACAAAAAGAGTGTATCAAAACTGCTCTGTCAAAAGGAAGGTTCTTCTCTGTTAGGTGAGTGCATACTTCATAAAGGAGTTTCTGAGAATGTTTCTTTCTAGCTTGTAGGGTAAGATATTCCCTTTATCACCATGGGCCTCAAGCCGTCCGAAACGTCTACTTCCATATACTACAAAAAGAGCGTTTCAAACCTGCTCTATGAAAGGCAATGTTCAACTCTGTGACTTGAATGCAGACATCACAGAGCAGTTTCTGAGAATGCTTTCTGTCTAGATTTTATAGGAAGATATTCCCGTTTCCAACGAAATCTTCACAGCTATCCAAATATCCACTTGCAGATTCTACAAAAAGAGTGTATCAAAACTGCTCTGTCAAAAGGAAGGTTCTTTTCTGTTAGGTGAGTGCATACGTCATAAAGGAGTTTCTGAGAATGTTTGTCTGTCTAGTGGTTATGGGAAGATATTTGCTTTTTCACCGTAGGCCTCAGGGCGCTCCAAATGTCCACTTGCACATGCTACAAAAAGAGTGCTTCAAAGCTGCTCTCTGAAAGGGAATGTTCAACTCTATGAGTTGAATGCAAACATTACAAAGACGTCTCTGAGAATGCTTCTGTCTAGATTTGATATGAAGATATTCCCGTTTCCAAGGAAATCTTCAAATCTATCCAAATGTCCACTTTCAGATTCAACAAAAAGTGTTTTTCAAAACTGCTGTATCAAAAGAAAGATCCACGTCTGTTAGCTGAGTTCACACATCACAAACAAGTTTATGAGAATGCCTCTGTGTAGTTTTTATTTGAAGATATTTCCTTTCTCACCATAGACCTGAATGCTGTCCTAATGTTCACTTCCAGATACTACAGAAAGAGTTTTTCAAAACTGCTGTACGAAAGGGAATATTCAACTCTGTGACTTGAATGCACACATCACAAAGAAGTTTCTGAGGATGCTGCTGTCTACTTTTTACACGTAGTCCCGTTTCCAAAGAAATCCTCCAAGCTATCCAAATATCCACTTGCAGATTCCACAGAAAGACTGTTTCAAAACTGCTCTGTCAATAGAAAGGTTCAACTGCTGTTAGCTGCGTGCATATATCCCAAAGAAGATTCTGAGATTGCTTCTGTCTAGTTTTTATCGGGAAGATATTTCCCTTTTCACCGTAGGTGTCAAGGTGCTCCAAATGTCCACTTCCAGATACTACAAAAAGAGTGTTTCAAACCTACTCTGTGAAAGGGAATATTCAACTCTGTGACTTGAATGCAGATATCACAAAGAAGTTTCTGAGAATGCTTCTGTCGAGATTTTATATGAAGATATTCCCGTTTCCATCGAAATCCTGAAATCTATCCAAATATCCCCTCGCAGATTCTACAAAAAGAGTGTTTCAAAACTGCTCTGTAAAAAGAAAGGTTCAACTCTGTTAGTTGAGTACACACATCACAAACAAGTTTCACACAATGCTTCTTTCTAGCTTGTAGGGGAAGATATTCCCTTTATCACCATGGGCCTCAAACCGTCCGAAACGTCCACTTCCATATACTACAAAAAGAGTGTTTCAAACCTGCTCTATGAAAGGCAATGTTCAACTCTGTGACTTGAATGCAGACATCACAGAGCAGTTTCTGAGAATGCTTCTGTCTAGATTTTATAGGAAGATATTCCCGTTTCCAACGAAATCTTCACAGGTATCCAAATATCCACTTGCAGATTCTACAAAAAGAGTGTATCAAAACTTCTCTGTCAAAAGGAAGGTTCTTCTCTGTTAGGTGAGTGCATACGTCATAAAGGAGTTTCTGAGAATGTTTCTGTCTAGTGGTTATGGGAAGATATTTGCTTTTTCACCGTTGGCCTCACAGCGCACCAAATATCCACTTGCACATACTACAAAAAGAGTGCCTCAAAGCTGCTCTCTGAAACGGAATGTTCAACTCTATGAGTTGAATGCAAACATCACAAAGACGTTTCTGAGAATGCTTCTGTCTAGATTTGATATGAAGATATTCCCGTTTCCAACGAAATCTTCAAATCTATCCAAATGTCCACTTGCAGATTCAACAAAAAGTGTTTTTCAGAACTGCTCTATCAAAAGAAAGATCCACCTCTGTTAGCTGAGTTCACACATCATAAACAAGTTTATGAGAATGCTTCTGTCTAGTTTTTATTTGAAGATATTTCCTTTCTCACCATAGAGCTGAAAGCTGTCCTAATGTTCACTTCCAGATACTACAGAAAGAGTGTTTCAAAATTGCTGTACGAAAGGGAATGTTCAACTCTGTGACTTGAATGCACACATCACAAAGAAGTTTCTGAGGATGCTGCTGTTTACTTTTTATACGTAATCCCGTTTCCAACGAAATCCTCCAAGCTATCCAAATATCCACTTGCAGATTCCACAGAAAGACTGTTTCAAAACTGCTCTGTCAATAGAAAGGTTCAACTCTGTTAGCTGCGTGCATATATCCCAAAGAAGATTCTGAGATTGCTTCTGTCTAGTTTTTATGGGAAGATATTTCCCTTTTCACCGTAGGCGTCAAGGCACTCCAAATGTCCACTTCCAGATACTACAAAAAGAGTGTTTCAAACCTACTCTGTGAAAGGGAATATTCAACTCTGTGACTTGAAGGCAGATATCACAAAGAAGTTTCTGAGAATGCTTCTGTCGAGATTTTATATGAAGATATTCCCGTTTCCAACGAAATCCTGAAATCTATCCAAATATCCCCTCGCAGATTCTACAAAAAGAGTGTTTCAAAACTGCTCTGTAAAAAGAAAGGTTCAACTCTGTTAGTTGAATACACACATCACAAACAAGTTTCACAGAGTGCTTCTTTCTAGCTTGTAGGGGAAGATATTCCCTTTATCACCATGGTCCTCAAACCGTCCGAAACGTCCTCTTCCATATAGTACAAAAAGAGCGTTTCTAACCTGCTCTATGAAAGTCAATGTTCAACTCTGTGACTTGAATGCAGACATCACAGAGCAGTTTCTGAGAATGCTTCTGTCTAGATTTTATAGGAAGGTATTCCCGTTTCCAACGAAATCTTCACAGCTATCCAAATATCCACTTGCAGATTCTACAAAAAGAGTGTATCAAAACTGCTCTGTCAAAAGGAAGGTTCTTCTCTGTTAGTTGAGTACATACGTCATAAAGGAGTTTGTGAGAATGTTTCTGTCTAGTGGTTATGGGAAGATATTTGCTTTTTCACCGAGGGCCTCAGAGCGCTCCAAATATCCACTTGCACATACTACAAAAAGAGTGCCTCAAAGCTGCTCTCTGAAACGGAATGTTCAACTCTATGAGTTGAATGCAAACATCACAAAGACGTTTCTGAGAATGCTTCTGTCTAGATTTGATATGAAGATATTCCCGTTTCCAAAGAAATCTTCAAATCTGTCCAAATGTCCACTTGCAGATTCAACAAAAAGTGTTTTTCAGAACTGCTCTATCAAAAGAAAGATCCACGTCTCTTAGCTGAGTTCACACATCACAAACAAGTTTATGAGAATGCTTCTGTCTAGTTTTTATTTGAAGATATTTCCTTTCTCACCATAGACCTGAAAGCTGTCCTAATGTTCACTTCCAGATGCTACAGAAAGAGTGTTTCAAAACTGCTGTACGAAAGGGTATGTTCAACTCTGTGACTTGAATGCACACATCACAAAGAAGTTTCTGAGGATGCTGCTGTCTACTTTTTATACGTAATCCCGTTTCCAACGAAATCCTCCAAGCTATCCAAATATCCACTTGCAGATTCCACAGAAAGACTGTTTCAAAACTGCTCTGTCAATAGAAAGGTTCAACTATGTTAGCTGCGTGCATATATCCCAAAGAAGATTCTGAGATTGCTTCTGTCTACTTTTTATGAGAAGATATTTCCCTGTTCACCGTAGGCGTCAAGGCGCTCCAAATGTCCACTTCCAGATACTACAAAAAGAGTGTTTCAAACCTACTCTGTGAAAGGGAATATTCAACTCTGTGACTTGAATGCACATATCACAAAGAAGTTTCAGAGAATGCTTCTGTCGAGATTTTATATGAAGATATTCCCGTTTCCAACGAAATCCTGAAATCTATCCAAATATCCCCTCGCAGATTCTACAAAAAGAGTGTTTCAAAACTGCTCTGTATAAAGAAAGGTTCAACACTGTTAGTTGAGTACACACATCTCAAACAAGTTTCACAGAATGCTTCTTTCTAGCTTGTAGGGGAAGATATTCCCTTTATCACCATGGGCCTCCAACCGTACGAAACATCCACTTCCATATACTACAAAAAGAGCGTTTCAAACCTGCTCTAGGAAAGGCAATGTTCAACTCTGTGACTTGAATGCAGACATCACAGAGCAGTTTCTGAGAATGCTTCTGTCTAGATTTTATACGAATATATTCCCGTTTCCAACGAAATCTTCACAGCTATCCAAATATCCACTTGCAGATTCTACAAAAAGAGTGTATCAAAACTGCTCTGTCAAAAGGAAGGTTCTTTTCTGTTAGGTGAGTGCATACGTCATAAAGGAGTTTCTGAGAATGTTTCTCTCTAGTGGTTATGGGAAGATATTTGCTTTTTCACCGTAGGCCTCAGAGCGCTCCAAATATCCACTTGCACATACTACAAAAAGAGTGCCTCAAAGCTGCTCTCTGAAACGGAATGTTCAACTCTATGAGTTGAATGCAAACATCACAAAGACGTTTCTGAGAATGCTTCTGTCTAGATTTGATATGAAGATATTCCCGTTTCCAACAAAATCTTCAAATCTATCCAAATGTCCACTTGCAGATTCAACAAAAAGTGTTTTTCAGAACTGCTCTATCAAAAGAAAGATCCACCTCTGTTAGCTGAGTTCACACATCACAAACAAGTTTATGAGAATGCTTCTGTCTAGTTTTTATTTGAAGATATTTCCTTTCTCACCATAGACCTGAAAGCTGTCCTAATGTTCACTTCCAGATACTACAGAAAGAGTGTTTCAAAACTGCCGTACGAAAGGGAATGTTCAACTCTGTGACTTGAATGCACACATCACAAAGAAGTTTCTGAGGATGCTGCTGTCTACTTTTTATACGTAATCCCGTTTCCAACGAAATCCTCCAAGCTATCCAAATATCCACTTGCAGATTCCTCAGAAAGACTGTTTCAAAACTGCTCTGTCAATAGAAAGGTTCAACTACTGTTAGCTGCGTGCATATATCCCAAAGAAGATTACTGAGATTGCTTCTGTCTACTTTTTATGAGAAGATATTTCCCTTTTCACCGTAGGCATCAAGGCGCTCCAAATGTCCACTTCCAGATACTACAAAAAGTGTGTTTCAAACCTACTCTGTGAAAGGGAATATTCAACTCTGTGACTTGAATGCACATATCACAAAGAAGCTTCTGAGAATGCTTCTGTCGAGATTTTATATGAAGATATTCCCGTTTCCAACGAAATCCTGAAATGTATCCAAATATCCCCTCGCAGATTCTACAAAAAGAGTGTTTCAAAACTGCTCTGTAAAAAGAAAGGTTCAACTCTGTTAGTTGAGTACACACATCACAAATAAGTTTCACACAATGCTTCTTTCTAGCTTGTAGGGGAAGATATTCCCTTTATCACCATGGGCCTCAAACCGTCTGAAACGTCCACTTCCATATACTACAAAAAGAGCATTTCAAACCTGCTGTATGAAAGGCAATGTTCAACTCTGTGACTTGAATGCAGACATCACAGAGCAGTTTCTGAGAATGCTTCTGTCTAGATTTTATAGGAAGATATTCCCGTTTCCAACGAAATCTTCACAGCTATCCAAATATCCACTTGCAGATTCTACAAAAAGAGTGTATCAAAACTGCTCTGTCAAAAGGACGGTTCTTCTCTGTTAGGTGAGTGCATACGTCATAAAGGAGTTTCTGAGAATGTTTCTGTCTAGTGGTTATGGGAAGATATTTGCTTTTTCACCGTAGGCCTCAGAGCGCTCCAAATATCCACTTGCACATACTACAAAAAGAGTGCTTCACAGCTGCTCTCTGAAAGGGAATATTCAACTCTATGAGTTGAATGCAAACATCACAAAGACGTTTCTGAGAATGCTTCTGTCTAGATTTGATATGAAGATATTCCCGTTTCCAACGAAATCTTCAAATCTTTTCAAATGTCCACTTGCAGATTCAACAAAAAGTGTTTTTCAGAACTGCTCTATCAAAAGAAAGATCCACTTCTGTTAGCTGAGTTCACACATCACAAACAAGTTTATGAGAATGCTTCTGTCTAGTTTTTATTTGAAGATATTTCCTTTCTCACCATAGACCTGAAAGCTGTCTTAATGTTCACTTCCAGATACTACAGAAAGAGTGTTTCAAAACTGCTGTACGAAAGGGAATGTTCAACACTCTGACTTGAATGCACACATCACAAAGAAGTTTCTGAGGATGCTGCTGTCTACTTTTTATACGTAATCCCGTTTCCAACGAAATCCTCCAATCTATCCAAATATCCACTTGCAGATTCCACAGAAAGACTGTTTCAAAACTGCTCTGTCAATAGAAAGGTTCAACTCTGTTAGCTGCGTGCATATATCCCAAAGAAGATTCTGAGATTGCTTATCTGTCTAGTTTTTATGGGAAGATATTTCCCTTTTCACCGTAGGCATCAAGGCGCTCCAAATGTCCACTTCCAGATACTATAAAAAGTGTGTTTCAAACCTACTCTGTGAAAGGGAATATTCAACTCTGTGACTTGAATGCACATATCACAAAGAAGCTTCTGAGAATGCTTCTGTCGAGATTTTAAATGAAGATATTCCCCTTTCCAACGAAATCCTGAAATCTATCCAAATATCCCCTCGCAGATTCTACAAAAAGAGTGTTTCTAAACTGCTCTGTAAAATGAAAGGTTCAACTCTGTTAGTTGAGTACACACATCACAAACAAGTTTCACAGAATGCTTCTTTCTAGCTTGTAGGGGAAGATATTCCCCTTTATCACCATGGGCCTCAAACCGTCCGAAAAGTCCACTTCCATATACTACAAAAAGAGCATTTCAAACCTGCTCTATGAAAGGCAATGTTCAACTCTGTGACTTGAATGCAGACATCACAGAGCAGTTTCTGAGAATGCTTCTGTCTAGATTTTATAGGAAGATATTCCCGTTTCCAACGAAATCTTCACAGCTATCCAAATATGCACTTGCAGATTCTACAAAAAGAGTGTATCAAAACTGCTCTGTCAAAAAGAAGGTTCTTCTCTGTTAGTTGAGTACATACGTCATAAAGGAGTTTCTGAGAATGTTTCTGTCTAGTGGTTATGGGAAGATATTTGCTTTTTCACTGTAGGCCTCAGAGCGCTCCAAATATCCACTTGCACATACTACAAAAAGAGTGCCTCAAAGCTGCTCTCTGAAACGGAATGTTCAACTCTATGAGTTGAATGCAAACATCGCAAAGACGTTTCTGAGAATGCTTCTGTCTAGATTTGATATGAAGATATTCCCGTTTCCAACGAAATCTTCAAATCTATCCAAATGTCCACTTGCAGATTCAACAAAAAGTGTTTTTTAGAACTGCTCTATCAAAAGAAAGATCCACCTCTGTTAGCTGAGTTCACACATCACAAACAAGTTTATGAGAATGCTTCTGTCTAGCTTTTATTTGAAGATATATCCTTTCTCACTATAGACCTGAAAGCTCTCCTAAAGTTCACTTCCAGATACTACAGAAAGAGTGTTTCAAAACTGCTGTACGAAAGGGAATGTTCAACTCTGTGACTTGAATGCACACATCACAAGGATGTTTCTGAGGATGCTGCTGTCTACTTTTTATACGTAATCCCGTTTCCAACGAAATCCTCCAAGCTATCCAAATATCCACTTGCAGATTCCACAGAAAGACTCTTTCAAAAGTGCTCTCTCAATAGAAAGGTTCAACTCTGTTAGCTGCGTGCATATATCCCAAAGAAGATTCTGAGATTGCTTCTGTCTAGTTTTTATGGGAAGATATTTCCCTTTTCACCGTAGGTGTCAAGGCGCTCCAAATGTCCACTTCCAGATACTACAAAAAGAGTGTTTCAAACCTACTCTGTGAAAGGGAATATTCAACTCTGTGACTTGAATGCAGATATCACAAAGTAGTTTCTGAGAATGCTTCTGTCGAGATTTTGTATGAAGATATTCCCGTTTCCAACGAAATCCTGAAATCTATCCAAATTTCCCCTCGCAGATTCTACAAAAAGAGTGTTTCAAAACTGCTCTGTAAAAAGAAAGGTTCAACTCTGTTAGTTGAGTACACACATCACAAACAAGTTTCACAGAATGCTTCTTTCTAGCTTGTAGGGGAAGATATTCCCTTTATCACCATGGGCCTCAAACCGTCCGAAAAGTCCACTTCCATATACTACAAAAAGAGCGTTTCAAACCTGCTCTATGAAAGGCAATGTTCAACTCTGTGACTTGAATGCAGACATCACAGAGCAGTTTGCTGAGAATGCTTCTGTCTAGTATGTTATAGGAAGATATTCCCGTTTCCAACGAAATCTTCACAGGTATCCAAATATCCACTTGCAGATTCTACAAAAAGAGTGTATCAAAACTGCTCTGTCAAAAGGAAGGTTCTTCTCTGTTAGGTGAGTGCATACGTCATAAAGGAGTTTCTGAGAATGTTTCTGTCTAGTGGTTATGGGAAGATATTTGCTTTTTCACCGTAGGCCTCAGAGCGCTCCAAATATCCACTTGCACATACTACAAAAAGAGTGCTTCAAAGCTGGTCTCTGAAAGGGAATGTTCAACTCTATGAGTTGAATGCAAACATCACAAAGACGTTTCTGAGAATGCTTCTGTCTAGATTTGATATGAAGATATTCCCGTTTCCAACGAAATCTTCAAATCTATCCAAATGTCCACTTGCAGATTCAACAAAAAGGGTTTTTCAGAACTGCTCTATCAAAAGAAAGATCCACCTCTGTTAGCTGAGTTCACACATCACAAACAAGTTTATGAGAATGCTTCTGTCTAGTTTTTATTTGAAGATATTTCCTTTCTCACCATAGACCTGAAAGCTGTCTTAATGTTCACTTCCAGATACTACAGAAAGAGTGTTTCAAAACTGCTGTACGAAAGGGAATGTTCAACTCTGTGACTTGAATGCACACATCACAAAGAAGTTTCTGAGGATGCTGCTGTCTACTTTTTATACGTAATCCCGTTTCCAAAGAAATCCTCCAAGCTATCCAAATATCCACTTGCAGATTCCACAGAAAGACTGTTTCAAAACTGCTCTGTCAATAGAAAGGTTCAACTCTGTTAGCTGCGTACATATATCCCAAAGAAGATTCTGAGATTGCTTCTGTCTAGTTTTTATGGGAAGATATTTCCCTTTTCACTGTAGGTGTCAAGGCGCTCCAAATGTCCACTTCCAGATACTACAAAAAGAGTGTTTCAAACCTACTCTGTGAAAGGGAATATTCAACTCTGTGACTTGAATGCACATATCACAAAGAAGTTTCTGAGAATGCTTCTGTCGAGATTTTATATGAAGATATTCCCGTTTCCAACGAAATCCTGAAATCTATCCAAATATCCCCTCGCAGATTCTACAAAAAGAGTGTTTCAAAACTGCTCTGTAAAAAGGAAGGTTCTTCTCTGTTAGGTGAGTGCATACGTCATAAAGGAGTTTCTGAGAATGTTTCTGTCTAGTGGTTATGGGAAGATATTTGCTTTTTCCCCGTAGGCCTCAGGGCCCTCCAAATGTCCACTTGCACATGGTACAAAAAGAGTGCTTCAAAGCTGCTCTCTGAAAGGGAATGTTCAACTCTATGAGTTGAATGCAAACATCGGAAAGACGTTTCTGAGAATGCTTCTGTCTAGATTTTATAGGAAGATATTACCGTTTCCAACGAAATCTTCACAGCTATCCAAATATCCACTTGCAGATTCTACAAAAAGAGTGTATCAAAACTGCTCTGTAAAAAGGAAGGTTCTTCTCTGTTAGGTGAGTGCACACGTCATAAAGGAGTTTCTGAGAATGTTTCTGTCTAGTGGTTATGGGAAGATATTTGCTTTTTCACCGTAGGCCTCAGAGCGCTCCAAATATCCACTTGCACATACTACAAAAAGAGTGCTTCAAAGCTGCTCTCTGAAAGGGAATTTTCAACTCTATGAGTTGAATGCAAACATCACAAAGACGTTTCTGAGAATGCTTCTGTCTAGATTTGATATGAAGATATTCCCGTTTCCAAAGAAATCTTCAAATCTATCCAAATGTCCACTTGCAGATTCAACAAAAAGTGTTTTTCAGAACTGCTCTATCAAAAGAAAGATCCACCTCTGTTAGCTGAGTTCACACATCAGAAACAAGTTTATGAGAATGCTTCTGTCTAGTTTTTATTTGAAGATATTTCCTTTCTCACCATAGACCTGAAAGCTGTCCTAATGTTCACTTCCAGATACTACAGAAAGAGTGTTTCAAAACTGCTGTACGAAAGGGAATGTTCAACACTGTGACTTGAAAGCACACATCACAAAGAAGTTTACTGAGGATGCTGCTGTCTACTTTTTATGCGTAATCCCGTTTCCAACGAAATCCTCCAAGCTATCCAAATATCCACTTGCATATTCCACAGAAAGACTGTTTCAAAACTGCTCTGTCAATAGAAAGGTTCAACTCTGTTAGCTGCGTGCATATATCCCAAAGAAGATTCTGAGATTGCTTCTGTCTACTTTTTATGAGAAGATATTTCCCTTTTCACCGTAGGCGTCGAGGCGCTCCAAATGTCCACTTCCAGATACTACAAAAAGAGTGTTTCAAACCTACTCTGTGAAAGGGAATATTCAACTCTGTGACTTGAATGCACATATCACAAAGAAGTTTCTGAGAATGCTTCTGTTGAGATTTTATATGAAGATATTCCCGTTTCCAACGAAATCCTGAAATCTATCCAAATACCCCCTCACAGATTGTACAAAAAGAGTGTTTCAAAACTGCTCTGTAAAAAGAAAGGTTCAACTCTGTTAGTTGAGTACACACATCACAAACAAGTTTCACAGAATGCTTCTTTCTAGCTTGTAGGGGAAGATATTCCCTTTATCACCATGGGCCTCAAACCGTCCGAAACGTCCACTTCCATATACTAAAAAAGGAGTGTTTCAAACCTGCTCTATGAAAGGCAATGTTCAACTCTGTGACTTGAATGCAGACATCACAGAGCAGTTACTGAGAATGCTTCTGTCTAGATTTTATAGGAAGATATTCCCGTTTCCAACGAAATCTTCACAGCTATCCAAATATCCAATTGCAGATTCTACAAAAAGAGTGTATCAAAACTGCTCTGTCCAAAGGAAGGTTCTTCTCTGTTAGGTGAGTGCATACGTCATAAAGGAGTTTCTGAGAATGTTTCTGTCTAGTGGTTGTGGGAAGATATTTGCTTTTTCACCTTAGGCCTCAGAGGACTCCAAATATCCACTTGCACGTACTACAAAAAGAGTGCTTCAAAGCTGCTCTCTGAAACGGAATGTTCAACTCTATGAGTTGAATGCAAACATCACAAAGACGTTTCTGAGAATGCTTCTGTCTAGATTTGATATGAAGATATTCCCGTTTCCAATGAAATCTTCAAATCTATCCAAATGTCCACTTGCAGATTCAACAAAGTGTTTTTCAGAACTGCTCTATCAAAAGAAAGATCCACCTCTGTTAGCTGAGATCACACTTCACAAACAAGTTTATCAGAATGCTTCTGTCTAGTTTTTATTTGAAAATATATCCTTTCTCACTATAGACCTTAAAGCTCTCCTAAAGTTCACTTCCAGATACTACAGAAAGAGTGTTTCAAAACTGCTGTACGAAAGGGAATGTTCAACTCTGTGACTTGAATGCACACATCACAAGGAAGTTTCTGAGGATGCTGCTGTCTACTTTTTATACTTAATCCCGTTTCCAACGAAATCCTCCAAGCTATCCAAATATCCACTTGCAGATTCCACAGAAAGACTGTTTCAAAACTGCTCTGTCAATAGAAAGGTTCAACTCTGTTAGCTGCGTGCATATATCCCAAAGCAGATTCTGAGATTGCTTCTGTCTAGTTTTTATGGGAAGATATTTCCCTTTTCACCGTAGGCGTCAAGGCGCTCCAAATGTCCACTTCCAGATACTACAAAAAGAGTGTTTCAAACCTACTCTGTGAAAGGGAATATTCAACTCTGTGACTTGAATGCACATATCACAAGGAAGTTTCTGAGAATGGTTCTGTCGAGATTTTGTATGAAGATATTCCCGTTTCCAACGAAATCCTGAAATCTATCCAAATTTCCCCTCGCAGATTCTACAAAAAGAGTGTTTCAAAACTGCTTTGTAAAAAGAAAGGTTCAACTCTGTTAGTTGAGTACACACATCACAAACAAGTTTCACAGAATGCTTCTTTCTAGCTTGTAGGAGAAGATTTTCCCTTTATCACCATGGGCCTCCAACCGTCCGAAACATCCACTTCCATATACTACAAAAAGAGCGTTTCAAACCTGCTCTATGAAAGGCAATGTTCAACTCTGTGACTTGAATGCAGACATCACAGAGCAGTTTCTGAGAATGCTTCTGTCTACATTTTATAGGAAGATATTCCCGTTTCCAACGAAATCTTCACAGGTATCCAAATATCCACTTGCAGATTCTACAAAAAGAGTGTATCAAAACTGCTCTGTCAAAAGGAAGGTTCTTCTCTGTTAGGTGAGTGCATACGTCATAAAGGAGTTTCTGAGAATGTTTCTGTCTAGTGGTTATGGGAAGATATTTGCTTTTTCACCGTAGGCCTCAGAGCGCTCCAAATATCTACTTGCACATACTACAAAAAGAGTGCCTCAAAGCTGCTCTCTGAAACGGAATGTTCAACTCTATGAGTTGAATGCCAACATCACAAAGACGTTTCTGAGAATGCTTCTGTCTAGATTTGATATGAAGATATTCCCGTTTCCAACGAAATCTTCAAATCTATCCAAATGTCCACTTGCAGATTCAACAAAAAGTGTTTTTCAGAACTGCTCTATCAAAAGAAAGATCCACCTCTGTTAGCTGAGTTCACACCTCACAAACAAGTTTATGAGAATGCTTCTGTCTAGTTTTTATTTGAAGATATTTCCTTTCTCACCATAGAGCTGAAAGCTGTCCTAATGTTCACTTCCAGATACTACAGAAAGAGTGTTTCAAAACTGCTGTATGAAAGGGAATGTTCAACTCTTTGACTTGAATGCACACATCACAAAGAAGTTTCTGAGGATGCTGCTGTCTACTTTTTATACGTAATCCCGTTTCTAACGAAATCCTCCAAGCTATCCAAATATCCACTTGCAGATTCCACAGAAAGACTGTTTCAAAACTGCTCTGTCAATAGAAAGGTTCAACTCTGTTAGCTGCGTGCATATATCCCAAAGAAGATTCTGAGATTGCTTCTGTCTAGTTTTTATGGGAAGATATTTCCCTTTTCACCGTAGGTGTCAAGGCACTCCAAATGTCCACTTCCAGATACTCCAAAAAGAGTGTTTCAAACCTACTCTCTGAAAGGGAATATTCAACTCTGTGACTTGAATGCAGATATCACAATGAAGTTTCTGAGAATGCTTCTGTCGAGATTTTATATGAAGATATTCCCGTTTCCAACGGAATCCTGAAATCTATCCAAATATCCCCTCGCAGATTCTACAAAAAGAGTGTTTCAAAACTGCTCTGTAAAAAGAAAGTTTCAACTCTGTTAGTTGAGTACACACATCACAAACAAGTTTCACAGAATGCTTCTTTCTAGCTTGTAGGGGAAGATATTCCCTTTATCACCATGGGCCTCAAACCGTCCGAAACCTCCAGTTACATATACTACAAAAAGAGCGTTTCAAACCTGCTCTATGAAAGGCAATGTTCAACTCTGTGACTTGAATGCAGACATCACAGAGCTGTTTCTGAGAATGCTTCTGTCTAGATTTTATAGGAAGATATTCCCGTTTCCAACGAAATCTTCACAGCTATCCAAATATCCATTTGCAGATTCTACAAAAAGAGTGTATCAAAACTGCTCTGTCAAAAGGAAGGTTCTTCTCTGTTAGTTGAGTACATACGTCATAAAGGAGTTTCTGAGAATGTTTCTGTCTAGTGGTTATGGGAAGATATTTGCTTTTTCCCCGTAGGCCTCAGGGCGCTCCAAATGTCCACTTGCACATGCTACAAAAAGAGTGCTTCAAAGCTGCTCTCTGAAAGGGAATGTTCAACTCTATGAGTTGAATGCAAACATCACAAAGACGTCTCTGAGAATGCTTCTGTCTAGATTTGATATGAAGATATTCCCGTTTCCAAAGAAATCTTCAAATCTATCCAAATGTCCACTTGCAGATTCATCAAAAAGTGTTTTTCAGAACTGCTCTATCAAAAGAAAGATCCACCTCTGTTAGCTGAGTTCACACATCACAAACAAGTTTATGAGAATGCTTCTGTCTAGTTTTTATTTGAAGATATTTCCTTTCTCACCATAGACCTGAAAGCTGTCCTAAAGTTCACTTCCAGATACTACAGAAAGAGCGTTTCAAAACTGCTGTATGAAAGGGAATGTTCAACCTTGTGACTTGAATGCACACATCACAAAGAAGTTTCTGAGGATGCTGCTGTCTACTTTTTATACGTAATCCCGTTTCCAACGAAATCCTCCAAGCTATCCAAATATCCACTTGCAGATTCCACAGAAAGACTGTTTCAAAACTGCTCTGTCAATAGAAAGGTTCAACTCTGTTAGCTGCGTACATATATCCCAAAGAAGATTCTGAGATTGTTTCTGTCTAGTTTTTATGGGAAGATATTTCCCTTTTCACCGTAGGCAGTCAAGGCGCTCCAAATGTCCACTTCCAGATACTACAAAAAGAGTGTTTCAAACCTACTCTGTGAAAGGGAATATTCAACTCTGTGACTTGAATGCACATATCACAAAGAAGTTTCTGAGAATGCTTCTGTCGAGATTTTGTATGAAGATATTCCCGTTTCCAACGAAATCCTGAAATCTATCCAAATTTCCCCTCGCAGATTCTACAAAAAGAGTGTTTCAAAACTGCTCTGTAAAAAGAAAGGTTCAACACTGTTAGTTGAGTACACACATCACAAACAAGTTTCACAGAATGCTTCTTTCTAGCTTGTAGGGGAAGATATTCCCTTTATCACCATGGTCCTCAAACCGTTCGAAACGTCCTGTTCCATATAGTACAAAAAGAGCCTTTCAAACCTGCTCTATGAAAGGCAATGTTCAACTCTGTGACTTGAATGCAGACATCACAGAGCAGTTTCTGAGAATGCTTCTGTCTAGATTTTATAGGAAGATATTCCCGTTTCCAACGAAATCTTCACAGCTATCCAAATATCCACTTGCAGATTCTACAAAAAGAGTGTATCAAAACTGCTCTTTCAAAAGGAAGGTTCTTCTCTGTTAGTTGAGTACATACGTCATAAAGGAGTTTCTGAGAATGTTTCTGTCTAGTGGTTATGGGAAGATATTTGCTTTTTCATCTTAGGCCTCAGAGCGCTCCAAATATCCACTTGCACATACTACAAAAAGAGTGCTTCAAAGCTGCTCTCTGAAACGGAATGTTCAACTCTATGAGTTGAATGCAAACATGACAAAGACGTTTCCGAGAATGCTTCTGTCTAGATTTGATATGAAGATATTCCCGTTTCCAACGAAATCTTCAAATCTATCCAAATGTCCACTTGCAGATTCAACAAAAAGTGTTTTTCAGAACTGCTCTTTCAAAAGAAAGATTCACCTCTGTTAGCTGAGTTCACACATCACAAACAAGTTTATGAGAATGCTTCTGTCTAGTTTTTATTTGAAGATATTTCCTTTCTCACCATAGACCTGAAAGATGTCCTAATGTTCACTTAGAGATACTACAGAAAGAGTGTTTCAAAACGGCTGTACGAAAGGGAATGTTCAACACTGTGACATGAATGCACACATCACAAAGAAGTTTCTGAGGATGCTGCTGTCTACTTTTTATACGTAATCCCGTTTCCAACGAAATCCTCCAATCTATCCAAATATCCACTTGCAGATTCCACAGAAGGACTGTTTCAAAACTGCTCTGTCAATAGAAAGGTTAAACTCTGTTAGCTGCGTGCATATATCCCAAAGAAGATTCTGAGATTGCTTCTGTCTACTTTTTATGAGAAGATATTTCCCTTTTCACCGTAGGCGTCAATGTGCTCCAAATGTCCACTTCCAGATACTACAAAAAGAGTGTCTCAAACCTACTCTGTGAAAGGGAATATTCAACTCTGTGACTTGAATGCACATATCACAAAGAAGCTTCTGAGAATGCTTCTGTCGAGATTTTATATGAAGATATACCCGTTTCCAATGAAATCCTGAAATCTATCCAAATATCCCCTCGCAGATTCTAGAAAAAGAGTGTTTCAAAACTGCTCTGTGAAAAGAAAGGTTCAACTCTGTTAGTTGAGTACACACATCACAAACAAGTTTCACAGAATGCTTCTTTCTAGCTTGTAGGGGAAGATATTCCCTTTATCACCATGGGCCTCCAACCGTCCGAAACATCCACTTCCATATACTACAAAAAGAGCGTTTCAAACCTGCTCTATGAAAGGCAATGTTGAACTCTGTGTCTTGAATGCAGACATCACAGAGCAGTTTCTGAGAATGCTTCTGTCTAGATTTTATAGGAAGATATTCCCGTTTCCAACGAAATCTTCACAGCTATCCAAATATCCAGTTGCAGATTCTACAAAAAGAGTGTATCAAAACTGCTCTGTCAAAAGGAAGGTTCTTCTCTGTTAGGTGAGTGCATACGTCATAAAGGAGTTTCTGAGAATGTTTCTGTCTAGTGGTTATGGGAAGATATTTGCTTTTTCCCCGTAGGCCTCAGGGCGCTACAAATGTCCACTTGCACATGCTACAAAAAGAGTGCTTCAAAGCTGCTCTCTGAAAGGGAATGTTCAACTCTATGAGTTGAATGCAAACATCACAAAGACGTTTCTGAGAATGCTTCTGTCTAGATTTTATACGAAGATATTCCCGTTTCCAACGAAATCTTCAAATCTATCCAAATATCCACTTTCAGATTCTACAAAAAGTGTTTTTCAAAACTACTATATCAAAAGAAATATCCACCTCTGTTAGCTGAGTTCACACATCACAAACAATTTTATGAGAATGCTTCTGTCTAGTTTTTATTTGAAGATATTTCCTTTCTCACCATAGAGCTGAAAGCTGTCCTAATGTTCACTTCCAGATACTACAGAAAGAGTGTTTCAAAACTGCTGTACGAAAGGGAATGTTCAACTCTGTGACTTGAATGCACACATCACAAAGAAGTTTCTGAGGTGCTGCTGTCTACTTTTTATACGTAATCCCGTTTCCAACGAAATCCTCCAAGCTATCCAAATATCCACTTGCAGATTCCACAGAAAGACTGTTTCAAAACTGCTCTGTCAATAGAAAGGTTCAACTCTGTTAGCTGCGTGCATATATCCCAAAGAATATTCTGAGATTGCTTCTGTCTACTTTTTATGAGAAGATATTTCCGTTTTCACCGTAGGCGTCAAGGCGCTCCAAATGTCCACTTCCAGATACTACAAAAAGAGTGTTTCAAACCTACTCTGTGAAAGGGAATATTCAACTCTGTGACTTGAATGCACATATCACAAAGAAGCTTCTTAGAATGCTTCTGTCGAGATTTTATATGAAGATATTCCCGTTTACAACGAAATCCTGAAATCTATCGAAATATCCCCTCGCAGATTCTACAAAAAGAGTGTTTCAAAACTGCTCTGTAAAAAGAAAGGTTCAACTCTGTTAGTTGAGTACACACATCACAAACAAGTTTCACAGAATGCTTCTTTCTAGCTTGTAGGGGAAGATATTCCCTTTATCACCATGGGCCTCAAACCGTCCGAAACGTCCACTTCCCTATACTACAAAAAGAGGGTTTCAAACCTGCTCTAGGAAAGGCAATGTTCAACTCTGTGACTTGAATGCAGACATCACAGAGCAGTTTCTGAGAATGCTTCTGTCTAGATTTTATAGGAAGATATTCCCGTTTCCAACGAAATCTTCACAGCTATCCAAATATCCACTTGCAGATTCTACAAAAAGAGTGTATCAAAACTTCTCTGTCAAAAGGAAGGTTCTTCTCTGTTAGGTGAGTGCATACGTCATAAAGGAGTTTCTGAGAATGTTTCTGTCTAGTGGTTATGGGAAGATATTTGCTTTTTCCCCGTAGGCCTCAGAGCGCTCAAAATATCTACTTGCACATACTACAAAAAGAGTGCTTCAAAGCTGCTCTCTGAAAGGGAATGTTCATCTCCATGAGTTTAATTGAAACATCACAAAGACGTTTCTGAGAATGCTTCTGTCTAGATTTGATATGAAGATATTCCCGTTTCCAACGAAATCTTCAAATCTATCCAAATGTCCACTTGCAGATTCAACAAAAAGTGTTTTTCAGAACTGCTCTATCAAAAGAAAGATCCACCTCTGTTAGCTGAGTTGACACATCACAAACAAGTTTATGAGAATGCTTCTGTCTAGTTTTTATTTGAAGATATATCCTTTCTCACTATAGACCTGAAAGCTCTCCTAAAGTTCACTTCCAGATACTACAGAAAGAGTGTTTCAAAACTGCTGTACGAAAGGGAATGTTCAACTCTGTGACTTGAATGCACACATCACAAAGAAGTTTCTGAGGATGCTGCTGTCTACTTTTTATACGTAATCCCGTTTCCAACGAAATCCTCCAAGCTATCCAAATATCCACTTGCAGATTCCACAGAAAGACTGTTTCAAAACTGCTCTGGCAATAGAAAGGTTCAACTCTGTTAGCTGCGTGCATATATCCCAAAGAAGATTCTGAGATTGCTTCTGTCTAGTTTTTATGGGAAGATATTTCCCTTTTCACCGTAGGTGTCAAGGCGCTCCAAATGGCCACTTCCAGATACTACAAAAAGAGTGTTTCAAACCTACTCTGTGAAAGGGAATATTCAACTCTGTGACTTGAATGCACATATCACAAAGAAGTTTCTGAGAATGCTTCTGTCGAGATTTTCTATGAAGATATTCCCGTTTCCAACGAAATCCTGAAATCTATCCAAATATCCCCTCGCAGATTCTACAAAAAGAGTGTTTCAAAACTGCTCTGTAAAAAGAAAGGTTCAACTCCGTTAGTTGAGTACACACATCACAAACAAGTTTCACAGAATGCTTCTTTCTATCTTGTAGGGGAAGATATTCCCTTTATCACCATGGGCCTCCAACCGTCCGAAACATCCACTTCCATATACTACAAAAAGAGCGTTTCAAACCGGCTCTATGAAAGGCAATGTTCAACTCTGTGACTTGAATGCAGACATCACAGAGCAGTTTCTGCGAATGCTTCTGTCTAGATATTATAGGAGGATATTCCCGTTTCCAACGAAATCTTCACAGCTATCCAAATATCCACTTGGAGATTCTACAAAAAGAGTGTATCAAAACTGCTCTGTCAAAAGGAAGGTTCTTCTCTGTTAGGTGAGTGCATACGTCATAAAGGAGTTTCTGAGAATGTTTCTGTCTAGTGGTTATGGGAAGATATTTCCTTTTTCACCTTAGGCCTCAGAGCGCTCCAAATATCCCCTTGCACATACTACAAAAAGAGTGCTTCAAAGCTGCTCTCTGAAACGGAATGTTCAACTCTATGAGTTGAATGCAAACATCACAAAGACGTTTCTGAGAATGCTTCTGTCTAGATTTGATATGAAGATATTCCCGTTTCCAACGAAATCTTCAAATCTATCCAAATGTCCACTTGCATAATCAACAAAAAGTGTTTTTCACAACTGCTCTATCAAAAGAAAGATCCACCTCTGTTAGCTGAGTTCACACATCACAAACAAGTATATGAGAATGCTTCTGTCTAGTTTTTATTTGAAGATATTTCCTTTCTCACCATAGAGCTGAAAGCTGTCCTAATGTTCACTTCCAGGTACTACAGAAAGAGTGTTTCAAAACTGCTGTACGAAAGGGAATGTTCAACTCTGTGACTTGAATGCACACATCACAAAGAAGTTTCTGAGGATGCTGCTGTCTACTTTTTATACGTAATCCCGTTTCCAACGAAATCCTCCAAGCTATCCAAATATCCACTTGCAGATTCCACAGAAAGACTGTTTCAAAACTTGCTCTGTCAATAGAAACGTTCAACTCTGTTAGCTGCGTGCATATATCCCAAAGAAGATTCTGAGATTGCTTCTGTCTAGTTTTTATTGGTAGATATTTCCCTTTTCACCGTAGGCGTCAAGGCGCTCCAAATGTCCACTTCCAGATACTACAAAAAGAGTGTTTCAAACCTACTCTGTGAAAGGGAATATTCAACTCTGTGACTTCAATGCACATATCACAAGGAAGTTTCTGAGAATGCTTCTGTCGAGATTTTATATGAAGATATTCCCGTTTCCAACGAAATCCTGAAATCTATCCAAATATCCCCTCGCAGATTCTTCAAAAAGAGTGTTTCAATACTGCTCTGTAAAAAGAAAGGTTCAACTCTGTTAGTTGAGTACACACATCACAAACAAGTTTCACAGAATGCTTCTTTCTAGCTTGTAGGGAAAGATATTCCCTTTATCACCATGGGCCTCAAACCGTCCGAAACGTCCACTTCCATATACTACAAAAAGAGCGTTTCAAACCTGCTCTATGAAAGGCAATGTTCAACTCTGTGACTTCAATGTAGACATCACAGAGCAGTTTCTGAGAATGCTTCTGTCTAGATTTTATAGGAAGATATTCCCGTTTCCAACGAAATCTTCACAGCTATCCAAATATCCACTTGCAGATTCTACAAAAAGAGTGTATCAAAACTGCTCTGTCAAAAGGAAGGTTCTCCTCTGTTAGGTGAGTGCATACGTCGTAAAGGAGTTTCTGAGAATGTTTCTGTCTAGTGGTTATGGGAAGATATTTGCTTTTTCACCGTAGGCCTCAGAGCCCTCCAAATATCCACTTGCACATACTACAAAAAGAGTGCTTCAAACCTGCTCTCTGAAACGGAATGTTCAACTCTATGAGTTGAATGCAAACATCACAAAGACGTTTCTGAGAATGCTTCTGTCTAGATTTGATATGGAAGATATTCCCGTTTCCAACGAAATCTTCAAATCTATCCAACTGTCCTCTTGCAGATTCAACAAAAAGTGTTTTTCAGAACTGCTCTATCAAAAGAAAGATCCACGTGTGTTAGCTGAGTTCACACATCACGAACAAGTTTATGAGAATGCTTCTGTCTAGTTTTTATTTGAAGATATTTCCTTTCTCACCATAGAGCTGAAAGCTGTCCTAATGTTCACTTCCAGATACTACAGAAAGAGTGTTTCAAAACTGCAGTACGAAAGGGAATGTTCAACTCTGTGACTTGAATGCACACATCACAAAGAAGTTTCTGAGGATGCTGCTGTCTACTTTTTATACTTAATCCCGTTTCCAACGAAGTCCTCCAAGCTATCCAAATATCCACTTGCAGATTCCACAGAAAGACTGTTTCAAAACTACTCTGTCAATAGAAAGGTTCAACTCTGTTAGCTGCGTGCATATATCCCAAAGAAGATTCTGAGATTGCTTCTGTCTACTTTTTATGAGAAGATATTTCCCTTTTCACCGTAGGCGTCAAGGCGCTCCAAATGTTCACTTCCAGATACTACAAAAAGAGTGTTTCAAACCTACTGTGTAAAAGGGAATATTCAACTCTGTGACTTGAATGCACATATCACAAAGAAGTTTCTGAGAATGCTTCTGTCGAGATTTTATATGAAGATATTCCCCTTTCCAACGAAATCCTGAAATCTATCCAAATATCCCCTCGCAGATTCTACAAAAAGAGTGTTTCAAAACTGCTCTGTAAAAAGAAAGGTTCAAGTCTGTTAGTTGAGTACACACATCACAAACAAGTTTCACAGAATGCTTCTGTCTAGTTTTTATGTGAGGGTACTACCTTTTTCACCATAGGCCTCGAAGCAGTCCAAGTGTCCACTTCCATCTACTACAAAATGAGTGTTTCAGAACTGCTGTATGAAAGGGAATGTTCAACTCTGTGAGTTAAATGCAAACAACACAAAGAAGTTTCAGAGAATGCTTCTGCCTAGTTTTTATGTGAAGATATTCCCGTTTCCAACAAAATCCTCAAAGCTAGCCAAATATCCACTTGCAGACTCTACAAAAAGAATGTTTGAAAACTGCTCTATCAAAAGAAAAGTTCAACTCTGTTAGTTGAGTAAACACATCACAAACAAGTTTCACAGAATGCTTCTGTCTATTGGTTATGGGAAGATATTTGCTTTTTCACCTTAGGACTCAGAGCGCTCCAAATATCCCCTTGCACATACTACAAAAAGAGTGCTTCAAAGCTGCTCTCTGAAACGGAATGTTCAACTCTATGAGTTGAATGCAAACATCACAAAGACGTTTCTGAGAAAGCTTCTGTCTAGATTTGATATGAAGATATTCCCGTTTCCAAAGAAATCTTCAAATCTATCCAAATGTCCACTTGCAGATTCAACAAAAAGTGTTTTTCAGAACTGCTCTATCAAAAGAAAGATCCACGTCTCTTAGCTGAGTTCACAGATCACAAACAAGTTTATGAGAATGCTTCTGTCTAGTTTTTATTTGAAGATATATCCTTTCTCACTATAGACCTGAAAGCTCTCCTAAAGTTCACTTCCAGATACTACAGAAAGAGTGTTTGAAAACTGCTGTACGAAAGGGAATGTTCAACTCTGTGACTTGAATGCACACATCACAAGGATGTTTCTGAGGATGCTGCTGTCTACTTTTTATACTTAATCCCGTTTCCAACGAAATCCTCCAAGCTATCCAAATATCCACTTGCAGATTCCACAGAAAGACTGTTTCAAAACTGCTCTGCCAATAGAAAGGTTCAACTCTGTTAGCTGCATGCATATATCCCAAAGAAGATTCTGAGATTGCTTCTGTCTAGTTTTTATGGGAAGATATTTCCCTTTTCACCGTAGGCGTCAAGGCGCTCCAAATGTCCACTTCCAGATACTACAAAAAGAGTGTTTCAAACCTACTCAGTGAAAGGGAATATTCAACTCTGTGACTTGAAGGCAGATATCACAAAGAAGTTTCTGAGAATGCTTCTGTCGAGATTTTGTATGAAGATATTCCCGTTTCCAACGAAATCCTGAAATCTATCCAAATATCCCCTCGCAGATTCTACAAAAAGAGTGTTTCAAAACTGCTCTGTGAAAAGAAAGGTTCAACTCTCTTAGTTGAGTACACACATCACAAACAAGTTTCACAGAATGCTTCTTTCTAGCTTGTAGGGGAAGATATTCCCTTTATCACCATGGGCCTCAAACCGTCCGAAACGTCCACTTCCATATACTACAAAAAGAGCGTTTCAAACCTGCTCTAGGAAAGGCAATGTTCAACTCTGTGACTTGAATGCAGACATCACAGAGCAGTTTATGAGAATGCTTCTGTCTAGATTTTATAGGAAGATATTCCCGTTTCCAACGAAATCTTCACAGCTATCCAAATATCCACTTGCAGATTCTACAAAAAGAGTGTATCAAAGCTGCTCTGTCAAAAGGAAGGTTCTTCTCTGTTAGGTGAGTGCATGCGTCATAAAGCAGTTTCTGAGAATGTTTCTGTCTAGTGGTTATGGGAAGATATTTGCTTTTTCACCGTAGGCCTCAGAGCGCTCCAAATATCCACTTGCACATACTACAAAAAGTGTGCCTCAAAGCTGCTCTCTGAAACGGAATGTTCAACTCTATGAGTTGAATGCAAACATCACAAAGACGTTTCTGAGAATGCTTCTGTCTAGATTGATATGAAGATATTCCCGTTTCCAACGAAATCTTCAAATCTATCCAAATGTCCACTTGCAGATTCAACAAAAAGTGTTTTTCAGAACTGCTCTATCAAAAGAAAGATCCACCTCTGTTAGCTGAGTTCACACATCACAAACAAGTTTATGAGAATGCTTCTGTCTAGTTTTTATTTGAAGATATTTCCTTTCTCACCATAGAGCTGAAAGCTGTCCTAATGTTCACTTCTAGATACTACAGAAAGAGTGTTTCAAAACTGCTGTACGAAAGGGAATGTTCAACTCTGTGACTTGAATGCACACATCACAAAGAAGTTTCTGAGGATGCTGCTGTCTACTTTTTATACGTAATCCCGTTTCCAACGAAATCCTCCAAGCTATCCAAATATCCACTTGCAGATTCCACAGAAAGACTGTTTCAAAACTGCTCTGTCAATAGAAAGGTTCAACTCTGCTAGCTGCGTGCATATATCCCAAAGAAGATTCTGAGATTGCTTCTGTCTAGTTTTTATGGGAAGATATTTCCCTTTTCACCGTAGGCGTCAAGGCGCTCCAAATGTCCACTTCCAGATACTACAAACAGAGTGTTTCAAACCTACTCTGTGAAAGGGAATATTCAACTCTGTGACTTGAATGCACATATCACAAAGAAGTTTCTGAGAATGCTTCTGTCGAGATTTTATATGAAGATATTCCCGTTCCCAACGAAATCCTGAAATCTATCCAAATATCCCCTCGCAGATTCTACAAAAAGAGTGTTTCAAAACTGCTCTGTAAAAAGAAAGGTTCAACACTGTTAGTTGAGTACACACATCACAAACAAGTTTCACAGAATGCTTCTTTCTAGCTTGTAGGGGAAGATATTCCCTTTATCACCATGGGCCTCAAGCCGTCCGAAACGTCTACTTCCATATACTACAAAAAGAGCGTTTCAAACCTGCTCTATGAAAGGCAATGTTCAACTCTGTGACTTGAATGCAGACATCACAGAGCAGTTTCTGAGAATGCTTCTGTCTAGATTTTATAGGAAGATATTCCAGTTTCCAACGAAATCTTCACAGCTATCCAAATATGCACTTGCAGATTCTACAAAAAGAGTGTATCAAAACTGCTCTGTCAAAAGGAAGGTTCTTCTCTGTTAGTTGAGTACATACGTCATAAAGGAGTTTCTGAGAATGTTTCTGTCTAGTGGTTATGGGAAGATATTTGCTTTTTCACCGTAGGCCTCAGAGCACTCCAAATATCCACTTGCAGATACTACAAAAAGAGTGCTTCAAAGCTGCTCTCTGAAACGGAATGTTCAACTCTATGAGTTGAATGCAAACATCACAAAGACGTTTCTGAGAATGCTTCTCTCTAGATTTGATATGAAGATATTCAAGTTTCCAACGAAATCTTCAAATCTATCCAAATGTCCACTTGCAGATTCAACCAAAAGTGTTTTTCAGAACTGCTCTATCAAAAGAAAGATCCACCTCTGTTAGCTGAGTTCACACATCACAAACAAGTTTATGAGAATGCTTCTGTCTAGTTTTTATTTGAAGATATTTCCTTTCTCACCATAGACCTGAAAGCTGTCCTAATGTTCACTTCCAGATACTACAGAAAGAGTGTTTCAAAACTGCTGTACGAAAAGGAATGTTCAACTCTGTGACTTGAATGCACACATCACAAAGAAGTTTCTGAGGATGCTGCCGTCTACTTTTTATACGTAATCCCGTTTCCAACGAAATCCTCCAAGCTATCCAAATATCCACTTGCAGATTCTACAAAAAGAGTGTTTCAAAACTGCTCTGTAAAAAGAAAGGTTCAACTCTGTTAGCTATGTGCATATATCCCAAAGAAAATTCTGAGATTGCTTCTGTCTAGTTTTTATGGGAAGATATTTCCCTTTTCACTGTAGGCGTCAAGGCGCTCCAAATGTCCACTTCCAGATACTACAAAAAGAGTGTTTCAAACCTACTCTGTGAAAGGGAATATTCAACTCTGTGACTTGAATGCAGGATATCACAAAGAAGTTTCTGAGAATGCTTCTGTCGAGATTTTATATGAATTTATTCCCGTTTCCAACGAAATGCTGAAATGTATCCAAATATCCCCTCGCAGATTCTACAAAAAGAGTGTTTCAAAACTGCTCTGTAAAAAGAAAGGTTCAACTCTGTTAGTTGAGTACACACATCACAAACAAGTTTCACAGAATGCTTCTTTCTAGCTTGTAGGGGAAGATATTCCCTTTATCACCATGGGCCTCAAACCGTCCGAAACGTCCACTTTTATATACTACAAAAAGAGCGTTTCAAACCTGCTCTATGAAAGTCAATGTTCAACTCTGTGACTTGAATGCAGACATCACAGAGCAGTTTCTGAGAATGCTTCTGTCTAGATTTTATAGGAAGATATTCCCGTTTCCAACGAAATCTTCACAGCTATCCAAATATCCACTTGCAGATTCTACAAAAAGTGTGTATCAAAACTGCTCTGTCAAAAGGAAGGTTCTTCTCTGTTAGGTGAGTGCATACGTCATAAAGGAGTTTCTGAGAATGTTTCTGTCTAGTGGTTATGGGAAGATATTTGCTTTTTCACCGTAGGCCTCAGAGCGCTCCAAATATCCACTTGCACATACTACAAAAAGAGTGCTTCAAAGCTGCTCTCTGAAACGGAATGTTTAACTCTATGAGTTGAATGCAAACATCGCAAAGACGTTTCTGAGAATGCTTCTGTCTAGATTTGATATGAAGATATTCCCGTTTCCAACGAAATCTTCAAATCTATCCAAATGTCCACTTGCAGATTCAACAAAAAGTGTTTTTCAGAACTGCTCTATCAAAAGAAAGATCCACCTCTGTTAGCTGACTTCACACATCACAAACAAGTTTATGAGAATGCTTCTGTCTAGTTTTTATTTGAAGATATTTCCTTTCTCACCAAAGACCTGAAAGCTGTCCTAATGTTCACTTCCAGATACTACAGAAAGAGTGTTTCAAAACTGCTGTACGAAAGGGAATGTTCAACTCTGTGACTTGAATGCACACATCACAAAGAATTTTCTGAGGATGCTGCTGTCTACTTTTTATGCGTAATCCCGTTTCCAACGAAATCCTCCAAGCTATCCAAATATCCACTTGCAGATTCCACAGAAAGACTGTTTCAAAACTGCTCTGTCAATAGAAAGGTTCAACTCTGTTAGCTGCGTGCATATATCCCAAAGAAGATTCTGAGATGGCTTCCGTCTAGTTTTTATGGGAAGATATTTCCCTTTTCACCGTAGGCGTCAAGGCGCTCCAAATGTCCACTTCCAGATACCACAAAAAGAGTGTTTCAAACCTACTCTGTGGAAGGGAATATTCAACTCTGTGACTTGAATGCAGATATCACAAAGAAGTTTCTGAGAATGCTTCTGTCCAGATTTTATATAAAGATATTCCGGTTTCCAACAAAATCCTGAAATCTATCCAAATATCCCCTCGCAGATTCTACAAAAAGAGTGTTTCAAAACTGCTCTGTAAAAAGAAAGGTTCAACTCTGTTAGTTGAGTACACACATCACAAACAAGTTTCACAGAATGCTTCTTTCTAGCTTGTAGGGGAAGATATTCCCTTTATCACCATGGGCCTCAAACCGTCCGAAACGTCTACTTCCATATACTACAAAAAGACCGTTTCAAACCTGCTCTATGAAAAGCAATGTTCAACTCTGTGACTTGAATGCAGACATCACAGAGCAGTTTCTGAGAATGCTTCTGTCTAGATTTTATAGGAAGATATTCCCGTTTCCAACGAAATCTTCACAGCTATCCCAATATCCACTTGCAGATTCTACAAAAAGAGTGTATCAAAACTGCTCTGTCAAAAGGAAGGTTCTTCTCTGTTGGGTGAGTGCATACGTCAGAAAGGAGTTTCTGAGAATGTTTCTGTCTAGTGGTTATGGGAAGATATTTGCTTTTTCACCGTAGGCCTCAGAGCGCTCCAAATATCCACTTGCACATACTACAAAGAGTGCCTCAAAGCTGCTCTCTGAAACGGAATGTTCAACTCTATGAGTTGAATGCAAACATCGCAAAGACGTTTCTGAGAATGCTTCTGTCTAGATTTGATATGAAGATATTCCCGTTTCCAACGAAATCTTCAAATCTATCCAAATGTCCACTTGCAGATTCAACAAAAAGTGTTTTTCAGAACTGCTCTATCAAAAGAAAGATCCACCTCTGTTAGCTGAGTTCACACATCACAAACAAGTTTATGAGAATGTTTCTGTCTAGTTTTTATTTGAAGATATTTCCTTTCTCACCATAGAGCTGAAAGCTGTCCTAATGGTTCACTTCCAGATACTACAGAAAGAGTGTTTCAAAACTGCTGTACGAAAGGGAATGTTCAACTCTGTGACTTGAATGCACACATCACAAAGAAGTTTCTGAGGATGCTGCTGTCTACTTTTTATACAGTAATCCCGTTTCCAACGAAATCCTCCAAGCTATCCAAATATCCCCTTGCAGATTCCACAGAAAGACTGTTTCAAAACTGCTCTGTCAATAGAAAGGTTCAACTCTATTAGCTGCGTACATATATCCCAAAGAAGATTCTGAGATTGCTTCTGTCTAGTTTTTATGGGAAGATATTTCCCTTTTCACTTTAGGTGTCAAGGCGCTCCAAATGTCCACTTCCAGATACTACAAAAAGAGTGTTTCAAACCTACTCTGTGAAAGGGAATATTCAACTCTGTGACTTGAATGCAGATAGCACAAAGAAGTTTCTGAGAATGCTTCTGTCGAGATTTTATATGAAGATATTCCCGTTTCCAACGAAATCCTGAAGTCTATCCAAATATCCCCTCGCAGATTCTACAAAAAGAGTGTTTCAAAACTGCTCTGTAAAAAGAAAGGTTCAACTCTGTTAGTTGAGTACACACATCACAAACAAGTTTCACAGAATGCTTCTTTCTAGCTTGTAGGGGAAGATATTCCCTTTATCACCATTGGCCTCAAACCGTCCGAAACGTCCACTTCCATATACTACAAAAAGAGCGTTTCAAACCTGCTCTATGAAAGGCAATGTTCAACTCTGTGACTTGAATGCAGACATCACAGAGCAGTTTCTGAGAATGCTTCTGTCTAGATTTTATAGGAAGATATTCCCGTTTCCAACGAAATCTTCACAGCTATCCAAATATCCACTTGCAGATTCTACAAAAAGAGTGTATCAAAACTGCTCTGTCAAAAGGAAGGTTCTCCTCTGTTAGGTGAGTGCATACGTCATAAAGGAGTTTCTGAGAATGTTTCTGTCTAGTGGTTATGGGAAGATATTTGCTTTTTCACCGTAGGCCTCAGAGCGCTCCAAATATCCACTTGCACATACTACAAAAAGAGTGCCTCAAAGCTGCTCTCTGAATCGGAATGTTCAACTCTATGAGTTGAATGCAAACATCACAACGACGGTTTCTGAGAATGCTTCTGTCTAGATTTGATATGAAGATATTCCCGTTTCCAACGAAATCTTCTAATCTATCCAAATGTGCACTTGCAGATTCAACAAAAAGTGTTTTTCAGAACTGCTCTATCAAAAGAAAGATCCACCTCTGTTAGCTGAGTTCACACATCACAAACAAGTTTATGAGAATGCTTCTGTCTAGTTTTTATTTGAAGATATTTCCTTTCTCACCATAGACCTGAAAGCTGTCCTAATGTCCACTTCCAGATACTACAGAAAGAGTGTTTCAAAACTGCTGTACGAAAGGGAATGTTCAACTCTGTGACTTGAATGCACACATCACAAAGAAGTTTCTGAGGATGCTGCTGTCTACTTTTTATACGTAATGACGTTTCCAACGAAATCCTCCAAGCTAACCAAATATCCACTTGCAGATTCCACAGAAAGACTGTTTCAAAACTGCTCTGTCAATAGAAAGGTTCAACTCTGTTAGCTGCGTGCATATATCCCAAAGAAGATTCTGAGATTGCTTCTGTCTAGTTTTAATGGGAAGATATTTCCCTTTTCACCGTAGGTGTCAAGGCGCTCCAAATGTCCACTTCCAGATACTACAAAAAGAGTGTTTCAAACCTACTCTCTGAAAGGGAATATTCAACTCTGTGACTTGAATGCAGATATCACAATGAAGTTTCTGAGAATGCTTCTGTCGAGATTTTATATGAAGATATTCCCGTTTCCAACGAAATCCTGAAATGTATCCAAATATCCCCTCGCAGATTCTACAAAAAGAGTGTTTCAAAACTGCTCTGTAAAAAGAAAGGTTCAACTCTGTTAGTTGAGTGCAAACATCACAAACAAGTTTCACAGAATGCTTCTTTCTAGCTTGTAGGGGAAGATATTCCCTTTATCACCATGGGCCTCAAACCGTCCGATAAGTCCACTTCCATATCCTACAAAAAGAGCGTTTCAAACCTGCTCTATGAAAGGCAATGTTCAACTCTGTGACTTGAATGCAGACATCACAGAGCAGTTTCTGACAATGCTTCTGTCTAGATTTTATAGGAAGATATGCCCGTTTCCAACGAAATCTTCACAGCTATCCAAATATCCACTTGCAGATTCTACAAAAAGAGTGTATCAAAACTGCTCTGTCAAAAGGAAGGTTCTTCTCTGTTAGGTGAGTGCATACGTCATAAAGGAGTTTCTGAGAATGTTTCTGTCTAGTTGTTATGGGAAGATATTTGCTTTTTCCCTGTAGGCCTCAAAGCGCTCCAAATGTCCACTTGAACATACTACAAAAAGAGTGCTTCAAAGCTGCTCTCTGAAAGGGAATGTTCAACTCTATGAGTTCAATGCAAACATCACAAAGACGTTTCTGAGAATGCTTCTGTCTAGATTTGTTATGAAGATATACCCGTTTCCAACGAAATCTTCAAATCTATCCAAATGTCCACTTGCAGATTCAACAAAGTGTTTTTCAAAACTGCTGTATCAAAAGAAAGATCCACCTGTGTTAGCTGAGTTCACACTTCACAAACAAGTTTATGAGAATGCTTCTGTCTAGTTTTTATTTGAAGATATTTCCTTTCTCACCATAGACCTGAAAGCTGTCCTAATGTTCACTTCCAGATACTACAGAAAGAGTGTTTCAAAACTGCTGTACGAAAGGGAATGTTCAACTCTGTGACTTCAGTGCACACATCACAAAGAAGTTTCTGAGGATGCTGCTGTCTACTTTTTATACGTAATCCCGTTTCCAACGAAATCCTCCAAGTTATCCAAATATCCACTTGCAGATTCCACAGAAAGACTGTTTCAAAACTGCTCTGTCAATAGAAAGGTTCAACTCTGTTAGCTGCGTGCATATATCCCAAAGAAGATTCTGAGATTGCTTCTGTCTAGTTTTTATGGGAAGATATTTCCCTTTTCACCGTAGGCGTCAAGGCGCTCCAAATGTCCACTTCCAGATACTACAAAAAGAGTCTTTCAAACCTACTCTGTGGAAGGGAATATTCAACTCTGTGACTTGAATGCAGATATCACAAAGAAGTTTCTGAGAATGCTTCTGTCGAGATTTTGTATGAAGATATTCCCGTTTCCAACGAAATCCTGAAATCTATCCAAATATCCCCTCGCAGATTCTACAAAAAGAGTGTTTCAAAACTGCTCTGTGAAAAGAAAGGTTCAACTCTGTTAGTTGAGTACACACATCACAAACAAGTTTCACAGAATGCTTCTTTCTAGCTTGTAGGGGAAGATATTCCCTTTATCACCATGGGCCTCCAACCGACCGAAACATCCACTTCCATATACTACAAAAAGAGCGTTTCAAACCTGCTCTATGAAAGGCAATGTTCAACTCTGTGACTTGAATGCAGACATCACAGAGCAGTTTCTGAGAATGCTTCTGTCTAGATTTTATAGGAAGATATTCCCGTTTCCAACGAAATCTTCACAGCTATCCAAATATCCACTTGCAGATTCTACAAAAAGAGTGTATCAAATCTGCTCTGTCAAAAGGAAGGTTCTTCTCTGTTAGGTGAGTGCATACGTCATAAAGGAGTTTCTGAGAATGTTTCTGTCTAGTGGTTATGGGAAGATATTTGCTTTTTCCCCGTAGGCCTCAGAGCGCTCCAAATATCCACTTGCACATACTACAAAAAGAGTGCTTCAAAGCTGTTCTCTGAAACGGAATGTTCAACTCTATGAGTTGAATGCAAACATCACAAAGACGTTTCTGAGAATGCTTCTGTCTAGATTTGATATGAAGATATTCCCGTTTCCAACGAAATCTTCAAATCTATCCAAATGTCCACTTGCAGATTCAACAAAAAGTGTTTTTCAGAACTGCTCTATCAAAAGAAAGATCCACCTCTGTTAGCTGAGATCACACTTCACAAACAAGTTTATCAGAATGCTTCTGTCTAGTTTTTATTTGAAGATATTTCCTTTCTGACCATAGCCCTGAAAGCTGTCCTAATGTTCACTTCCAGATACTACAGAAAGAGTGTTTCAAAACTGCTGTACGAAAGGGAATGTTCAACTCTGTGACTTGAATGCACACATCACAAAGAAGTTTCTGAGGATGCTGCTGTCTACTTTTTATACGTAATCCCGTTTCCAACGAAATCCTCCAATCTATCCAAATATCCACTTGCAGATTCCACAGAAAGACTGTTTCAAAACTGCTCTGTCAATAGAAAGGTTCAACTCTGTTAGCTGCGTGCATATATCCCAAAGAAGATTCTGAGATTGCTTCTGTCTAGTTTTTATGAGAAGATATTTCCCTTTTCACCGTAGGCGTCAAAGCGCTCCAAATGTCCACTTCCAGATACTACAAAAAGAGTGTTTCAAACCTACTCTGTAAAAGGGAATATTCAACTCCTGTGACTTGAATGCACATATCACAATGAAGTTTCTGAGAATGCTTCTGTCGAGATTTTGTATGAAGATATTCCCGTTTCCAACGAAATCCTGAAATCTATCCAAATTTCCCCTCGCAGATTCTACAAAAAGAGTGTTTCAAAACTGCTCTGTGAAAAGAAAGGTTCAACTCTGTTAGTTGAGTACACACATCACAAACGAGTTTCACAGAATGCTTCTTTCTAGCTGGTAGGGGACGATATTCCCTTTATCACCATGGGCCTCAAACCGTCCGAAACGTCCACTTCCATATACTACAAAAAGAGCGTTTCAAACCTGCTCTATGAAAGGCAATGTTCAACTCTGTGACTTGAATGCAGACATCACAGAGCAGTTTCTGAGAATGCTTTTGTCCAGACTTTATAGGAAGATATTCCCGTTTCCAACGAAATCTTCACAGCTATCCAAATATCCACTTGCAGATACTACAAAAAGTGTGTATCCAAAGTGCTCTGTCAAAAGGAAAGTTCTTCTCTGCTACTTGAGTACATACGTCATAAAGAAGTTTCTGAGAATGTTTCTGTCTAGTGGTTATGGGAAGATATTTGCTTTTTCACCGTAGGCCTCAGAGCGCTCCAAATATCCACTTGCACATACTACAAAAAGAGTCTTTCAAAGCTGCTCTCTGAAAGGGAATGTTCAACTCTATGAGTTGAATGCAAACATGACAAAGACGTTTCTGAGAATGCTTCTGTCTAGATTTGATATGAACATATTCCCGTTTCCAACGAAATCTTCAAATCTATCCAAATGTCCACTTGCAGATTCAACAAAAAGTGTTTTTCAAAACTGCTGTATCAAAAGAAAGATCCACGTCTGTTAGCTGAGTTCACACATCACAAACAAGTTTATGAGAATGCTTCTGTCTAGTTTTTATTTGAAGATATTTCCTTTCTCACCATAGACCTGAAAGCTGTCCTAATGTTCACTTCCAGTTACTACAGAAAGAGTGTTTCAAAACTGCTGTACGAAAGGGAATGTTCAACTCGGTGACTTGAATGCACACATCACAAAGAAGTTTCTGAGGATGCTGCTGTCTACTTTTTATACTTAATCCCGTTTCCAACGAAATCCTCCAAGCTATCCAAATATCCACTTGCAGATTCCACAGAAAGACTGTTTCAATACTGCTCTGTCAATAGAAAGGTTCAACTCTGTTAGCTGCGTGCATATATCCCAAAGAAGATTCTGAGATTGCTTCTGTCTAGTTTTTATGGGAAGATATTTCCCTTTTCAACGTAGGCGTCAAGGCGCTCCAAATGTCCTCTTCCAGATACTACAAAAAGAGTGTTTCAAACCTACTCTGTGAAAGGGAATATTCAACTCTGTGACTTGAATGCACATATCACAAAGAAGTTTCTGAGAATGCTTCTGTCGCGATTTTATATGAAGATATTCCCGTTTCCAACGAAATCCTGAAATCTATCCAAATATCCGCTCGCAGATTCTACAAAAAGAGTGTTTCAAAACTGCTCTGTGAAAAGAAAGGTTCAACTCTGTTAGTTGAGTACACACATCACAAACAAGTTTCACAGAATGCTTCTTTCTAGCTTGTAGGGGAAGATATTTCCTTTATCACCATGGGCCTCAAACCGTCCGAAACGTGCACTTCCATATACTACAAAAAGAGCGTTTCAAACCTGCTCTATGAAAGGCAATGTTCAACTCTGTGACTTGAATGCAGACATCACAGAGCAGTTTCTGAGAATGCTTCTGCCTAGACTTTATAGGAAGACATTCCCGTTTCCAACGAAATCTTTACAGCTATCCAAATATCCACTTGCAGATACTACAAAAAGAGTGTATCAAAAATGCTCTGTCAAATTGAATGTTCTTCTCTGCTAGTTGAGTACATACGTCATAAAGAAGTTTCTGAGAATGTTTCTGTCTAGTGGTTATGGGAAGATATTTGCTTTTTCACCTTAGGCCTCAGAGCGCTCCATATATCCCCTTGCACATACTACAAAAAGAGTGCTTCAAAGCTGCTCTCTGAAAGGGAATGTTCAACTCTATGAGTTGAATGCAAACATGACAAAAGACGTTTCTGAGAATGCTTCTGTCTAGATTTGATATGAAGATATTCCCGTTTCCAACGAAATCTTCAAATCTATCCAAATGTCCTCTTGCAGATTCAACAAAAAGTGTTTTTCAGAACTGCTCTATCAAAAGAAACATCCACGTGTGTTAGCTGAGTTCACACATCACGAACAAGTTTATGAGAATGCTTCTGTCTAGTTTTTATTTGAAGATATTTCCTTTCTCACCATAGAGCTGAAAGCTGTCCTAATGTTCACTTCCAGATACTACAGAAAGAGTGTTTCAAAACTGCTGTACGAAAGGGAATGTTCAACTCTGTGACTTTAATGCACACATCACAAAGAAGTTTCTGAGGATGCTGCTGTCTACTTTTTATACGTAATCCCGTTTCCAACGAAATCCTCCAAGCTATCCAAATATCCACTTGCAGATTCCACAGAAAGACTGTTTCAAAACTGCTCTGTCAATAGAAAGGTTCAACTCTTTTAGCTGCGTGCATATATCCCAAAGAAGATTACTGAGATTGCTTCTGTCTAGTTTTCATGGGAAGATATTTCCCTTTTCACCGTAGGCGTCAAGGCGCTCCAAATGTCCACTTCCAGATACTACAAAAAGAGTGTTTCAAACCTACTCTGTGAAAGGGAATATTCAACTCTGTGACTTGAAGGCAGATATCACAAAGAAGTTTCTGAGAATGCTTCTGTCGAGATTTTATATGAAGATATTCCCGTTTCCAACGAAATCCTGAAATCTATCCAAATATCCCCTCGCAGATTCTACAAAAGAGTGTTTCAAAACTGCTCTGTAAAAAGAAAGGTTCAACTCTGTTAGTTGAGTACACACTTCACAAACAAGTTTCACAGAATGCTTCTTTCTAGCTTGTAGGGGAAGATATTCCCTTTATCACCATGGGCCTCAAACCGTCCGAAACGTCTACTTCCATATACTACAAAAAGAGAGTTTCAAACCTGCTCTATGAAAGGCAATGTTCAACTCTGTGACTTGAATGCAGACATCACAGAGCAGTTTCTGAGAATGCTTCTGTCTAGATTTTATAGGAAGATATTCCCGTTTCCAACGAAATCTTCACAGCTATCCAAATATCCACTTGCAGATTCTGCAAAAAGAGTGTATCAAAACTGCTCAGTCAAAAGGAAGGTTCTTCTCTGTTAGGTGAGTGCATACGTCATAACGGAGTTTCTGAGAATGTTTCTGTCTAGTGGTTATGGGAAGATATTTGCTTTTTCACCTTAGGCCTCAGAGCGCTCCATATATCCCCTTGCACATACTACAAAAAGAGTGCTTCAAAGCTGCTCTCTGAAACGGAATGTTGAACTCTATGAGTTGAATGCAAACATCACAAAGACGTTTCTGAGAATGCTTCTGTCTAGATTTGATATGAAGATATTCCCGTTTCCAACGAAATCTTCATATCTATCCAAATGTCCACTTGCAGATTCAACAAAAAGTGTTTTTCAAAACTGCTGTATCAAAAGAAAGATCCACGTGTGTTAGCTGAGTTCACACATCACAAACAAGTTTATGAGAATGCTTCTGTCTAGTTTTTATTTGAAGATATTTACTTTCTCATCATAGACCTGAAAGCTGTCCTATTGTTCACTTCAGATACTACAGAAAGAGTGTTTCAAAACTGCTGTACGAAAGGGAATGTTCAACTCTGTGACTTGAATGCACACATCACAAAGAAGTTTCTGAGGATGCTGCTGTCTACTTTTTATACGTAATCCCGTTTCCAACGAAATCCTCTAAGCTATCCAAATATCCACTTGCAGATTCCACAGAAAGACTGTTTCAAAACTGCTCTGTCAATAGAAAGGTTCAACTCTGTTAGCTGCGTGCATATATCCCAAAGAAGATTCTGAGATTGCTTCTGTCTAGTTTTTATGGGAAGATATTTCCCTTTTCACCGTAGGTGTCAAGGCGCTCCAAATGTCCACTTCCAGATACTACAAAAGAGTGTTTCAAACCTACTCTGTGAAAGGGAATATTCAACTCTGTGACTTGAATGCACATATCACAAAGAAGTTTCTGAGAATGCTTCTGTCGAGATTTATATGAAGATATTCCCGTTTCCAACGAAATCCTGAAATCTATCCAAATATCCCCTCGCAGATTCTACAAAAAGAGTGTTTCAAAACTGCTCTGTAAAAAGAAAGGTTCAACTCTGTTAGTTGAGTACACACATCACAAACAAGTTTCACAGAATGCTTCTTTCTAGCTTGTACGGGAAGATATTCCCTTTATCACCATGGGCCTCCAACCGTCCGAAACTTCCACTTCCATATACTACAAAAAGAGCGTTTCAAACCTGCTCTATGAAAGGCAATGTTCAACTCTGTGACTTGAATGCAGACATCACAGAGCAGTTTCTGAGAATGCTTCTGTCTAGATTTTTTAGGAAGATATTCCCGTTTCCAACGAAATCTTCACAGCTATCCAAATATCCACTTGCAGATTCTACAAAAAGAGTGTATCAAAACTGCTCTGTCAAAAGGAAGGTTCTTCTCTGTTAGGTGAGTGCATACGTCATAAAGGAGTTTCTGAGAATGTTTCTGTCTAGTGGTTATGGGAAGATATTTGCTTTTTCACCGTAGGCCTCAGAGCGCTCCAAATATCCACTTGCACATACGACAAAAAGAGTGCTTCAAAGCTGCTCTCTGAAACGGAATGTTCAACTCTATGAGTTGAATGCAAACATGACAAAGACGTTTCCGCGAATGCTTCTGTCTAGATTTGATATGAAGATATTCCCGTTTCCAACGAAATGTTCAAATCTATCCAAATGTCCACTTGCAGATTCAACAAAAAGTGTTTTTCAGAACTGCTCTATCAAAAGAAAGATGCACCTCTGTTAGCTGAGTTCACACATCACAAACAAGTTTATGAGAATGCTTCTGTCTAGTTTTTATTTGAAGATATTTCCTTTCTCACCATAGAGCTGAAAGCTGTCCTAATGTTCACTTCCAGATACTACAGAAAGAGTGTTTCAAAACTGCTGTAAGAAAGGGAATGTTCAACTCTGTGACTTGAATGCACACATCACAAAGAAGTTTCTGAGGATGCTGCTGTCTACTTTTTATGCGTAATCCCGTTTCCAACGAAATCCTCCAAGCTATCCAAATATCCACTTGCAGATTCCACAGAAAGACTGTTTCAAAACTGCTCTGTCAATAGAAAGGTTTAACTCTGTTAGCTGCGTGCATATATCCCAAAGAAGATTCTGAGATTGCTTCTGTCTAGTTTTTATGGGAAGATATTTCCCTTTTCACCGTAGGCGTCAAGGCGCTCCAAATGTCTACTTCCAGATACTACAAAAAGAGTGTTTCAAACCTACTCTGTGAAAGGGAATATTCAACTCTGTGACTTGAATGCACATATCACAAGGAAGTTTCTGAGAATGCTTCTGTCGAGATTTTATATGAAGATATTCCCGTTTCCAACGAAATGCTGAAATCTATCCAAATATCCCCTCGCAGATTCTACAAAAAGAGTGTTTCAAAACTGCTCTGTGGAAAGAAAGGTTCAACTCTGTTAGTTGAGTACACACATCACAAACAAGTTTCACAGAATGCTTCTTTCTAGCTTGTAGGGGAAGATATTCCCTTTATCACCATGGGCCTCAAACCGTCCGAAACGTCCACTTCCATATAATACAAAAAGAGCGTTTCAAACCTGCTCTAGGAAAGGCAGTGTTCAACTCTGTGACTTGAATGCAGACATCACAGAGCAGTTTCTGAGAATGCTTCTGTCTAGATTTTATAGGAAGATATTCCCGTTTCCAACCAAATCTTCACAGCTATCCAAATATCCACTTGCAGATTCTACAAAAAGAGTGTATCAAAACTGCTCTGTCAAAAGGAAGGTTCTTCTCTGTTAGGTGAGTGCATACGTCATAAAGGAGTTTCTGAGAATGTTTCTGTCTAGTGGTTATGGGAAGATATTTGCTTTTTCACCGTAGGCCTCAGAGCGCTCCAAATATCCACTTGCACATACTACAAAAAGAGTGCCTCAAAGCTCCTCTCTGAAACGGAATGTTCAACTCTATGAGTTGAATGCAAACATCGCAAAGACGTTTCTGAGAATGCTTCTGTCTAGATTTGATATGAAGATATTCCCGTTTCCAAAGAAATCTTCAAATCTATCCAAATGTCCACTTGCAGATTCAACAAAAAGTGTTTTTCAGAACTGCTCTATCAAAAGAAAGATCCAGCTCTGTTAGCTGAGTTCACACATCACAAACAAGTTTATGAGAATGCTTCTGTCTAGTTTTTATTTGAAGATATTTCCTTTCTCACCATAGATCTGAAAGCTGTCTTAGTGTTCACTTCCAGATACTACAGAAAGAGTGTTTCAAAACTGCTGTACGAAAGGGAATGTTCAACTCTGTGACTTGAATGCACACATCACAAAGAAGTTTCTGAGGATGCTGCTGTCTACTTTTTAAACGTAATCCCTTTTCCAACGAAATCCTCCAAGCTATCCAAATATCCACTTGCAGATTCCACAGAAAGACTGTTTCAAAACTGCTCTGTCAATAGAAAGGTTCAACTCTGTTAGCTGCGTGCATATATCCCAAAGAAGATTCTGAGATTGCTTCTGTCTAGTTTTTATGGGAAGATATTTCCCTTTTCACCGTAGGTGTCAAGGCGCTCCAAATGTCCACTTCCAGATACTACAAAAAGAGTGTTTCAAACCTACTCTGTGAAAGGGAATATTCAACTCTGTGACTTGAAGGCAGATATCACAAAGAAGTTTCTGAGAATGCTTCTGTCGAGATTTTATATGAAGATATTCCCGTTTCCAAAGAAATCCTGAAATCTATCCAAATATCCCCTCGCAGATTCTACAAAAAGAGTGTTTCAAAACTGCTCTGTAAAAAGAAAGGTTCAACTCTGTTAGTTGAGTACACACCTCACAAACAAGTTTCACAGAATGCTTCCTTCTAGCTTGTAGGGGAAGATATTCCCTTTATCACCATGGGCCTCAAACCGTCCGAAACGTCCACTTCCATATACTACAAAAAGAGCGTTTCAAACCTGCTCCATGAAAGGCAATGTTCAACTCTGTGACTTGAATGCAGACATCACAGAGCAGTTTCTGAGAATGCTTCTGTCTAGATTTTATAGGAAGATATTCCCGTTTCCAACGAAATCTTCACAGCTATCCAAATATCCACTTGCAGATTCTACAAAAAGAGTGTATCAAAACTGCTCTGTCAAAAGGAAGGTTCTTTTCTGTTACGTGAGTGCATACGTCATAAAGGAGTTTCTGAGAATGTTTCTGTCTAGTGGTTATGGGAAGATATTTGCTTTTTCACCGTAGGCCTCAGAGCGCTCCAAATATCCCCTTGCACATACTACAAAAAGAGTGCTTCAAAGCTGCTCTCTGAAAGGGAATGTTCAACTCTATGAGTTGAATGCAAACATCACAAAGACGTTTCCGCGAATGCTTCTGTCTAGATTTGATATGAAGATATTCCCGTTTCCAACGAAATCTTCAAATCTATCCAAATGTCCACTTGCAGATTCAACAAAAAGTGTTTTTCAGAACTGCTCTATCAAAAGAAAGATCCACCTCTGTTAGCTGAGTTCAGACATCACAAACAAGTTTATGAGAAAGCTTCTGTCTAGTTTTTATTTGAAGATATTTCCTTTCTCACCATAGACCTGAAAGCTATCCTAATGTTCACTTCCAGATACTACCGAATGAGTGTTTCAAAACTGCTGTACGAAAGGTGATGTTCAACTCTGTGACTTGAATGCACACATCACAAAGAAGTTTCTGAGGATGCTGCTGTCTAATTTTTATACGTAATCCCGTTTCCAACGAAATCCTCCAAGCTATCCAAATATCCACTTGCAGATTCCACAGAAAGACTGTTTCAAAACTGCTATGTCAATAGAAAGGTTCAACTCTGTTAGCTCCGTGCATATATCCCAAAGAAGATTCTGAGATTACTTCTGTCTAGTTTTTATGGGAAGATATTTCCCTTTTCACCGTAGGTGTCAAGGCGCTCCAAATGTACACATCCAGATACTACAAAAAGAGTGTTTCAAACCTACTCTGTGAAAGGGAATATTCAACTCTGTGACTTGAATGCAGATATCACAAAGAAGTTTCTGGGAATGCTTCTGTCGAGATTTTGTATGAAGATATTCCCGTTTCCAATGAAATCCTGAAATCTATCCAAATTTCCCCTCGCAGATTCTACAAAAAGAGTGTTTCAAAACTGCTCTGTGAAAAGAAAGGTTCAACTCTGTTAGTTGAGTACACACATCACAAACAAGTTTCACAGAATGCTTCTTTCTAGCTTGTAGGGGAAGATATTCCCTTTATCAACATGGGCCTCAAACCGTCCGAAAAGTCCACTTCCATATACTACAAAAAGAGCGTTTCAAACCTGCTCTATGAAAGGCAATGTTCAACTCTGTGACTTGAATGCAGACATCACAGAGCAGTTTCTGAGAATGCTTCTGTATAGATTTTATAGGAAGATATTCCCGTTTCCAACGAAATCTTCACAGCTATCCAAATATCCACTTGCAGATTCTACAAAAAGAGTGTATCAAAACTGCTCTGTCAAAAGGAAGGTTCTTTTCTGTTAGGTGAGTGCATACGTCATAAAGGAGTTTCTGAGAATGCTTCTCTCTAGTGGTTATGGGAAGATATTTGCTTTTTCACCGAAGGCCTCAGAGCGCTCCAAATATCCACTTTCACATACTACAAAATGAGTGCCTCAAAGCTGCTCTCTGAAACGGAATGTTCAACTCTATGAGTTGAATGCAAACATCACAAAGACGTGTCCGAGAATGCTTCTGTCTAGATTTGATATGAAGATATTCCCGTTTCCAAAGAAATCTTCAAATCTATCCAAATGTCCACTTGCAGATTCAACAAAAAGTGTTTTTCAGAACTGCTCTATCAAAAGAAAGATCCACGGCTCTTATCTGAGTTCACACATCACGAACAAGTTTATGAGAATGCTTCTGTCTAGTTTTTATTTGAAGATATTTCCTTTCTCACCATAGACCTGAAAGCTGTCCTAATGTTCACTTCCAGATGCTACAGAAAGAGTGTTTCAAAACTGCTGTACGAAAGGGAATGTTCAACTCTGTGACTTGAATGCACACATCACAACGAAGTTTCTGAGGATGCTGCTGTCTACTTTTTATGCGTAATCCCGTTTCCAACGAAATCCTCCAAGCTATCCAAATATCCACTTGCAGATTCCACAGAAAGACTGTTTCAAAACTGCTCTGTCAATAGAAAGGTTCAACTCTGTTAGCTGCGTGCTTATATCCCAAAGAAGATTCTGAGATTGCTTCTGTCTAGTTTTTATGGGAAGATATTTCCCTTTTCACCGTAGGTGTCAAGGCGCTCCAAATGTCCACTTCCAGATACTACAAAAAGAGTGTTTCAAACCTACTCTGTGAAAGCGAATATTCAACTCTGTGACTTAAATGCAGATATCACAATGAAGTTTCTGAGAATGCTTCTGTCGAGATTTTATATGAAGATATTCCCGTTTCCAACAAAATCCTGAAATCTATCCAAATATCCCCTCGCAGATTCTACAAAAAGAGTGTTTCAAAACTGCTCTGTAAAAAGAAAGGTTCAACTCTGTTAGTTGAGTACACACATCACAAACAAGTTTCACAGAATGCTTCTTTCTAGCTTGTAGGGGAAGTTATTCCCTTTATCACCATGGGCCTCAAACCGTCCGAAACGTCCACTTCCATATACTACAAAAAGAGCGTTTCAAACCTGCTCTATGAAAGGCAATGTTCAACTCTGTGACTTGAATGTAGACTTCACAGAGCAGTTTCTGAGAATGCTTCTGTCTAGATTTTATAGGAAGATATTCCCGTTTCCAACGAAATCTTCACAGCTATCCAAATATCCACTTGCAGATTCCACAAAAAGAGTGTATCAAAAATGCTCTGTCAAAAGGAAGGTTCTTCTCTTTTAGTTGAGTACATACGCCATAAAGGAGTTTCTGAGAATGCTTCTGTCTAGTGGTTATGGGAAGATATTTGCTTTTTCACCGTAGGCCTCAGAGCGCTCCAAATATCCACTTGCACATATTACAAAAAGAGTGCCTCAAAGCTGCTCTCTGAAACGGAATGTTCAACTCTATGAGTTGAATGCAAACATCGCAAAGACGTTTCTGAGAATGCTTCTGTCTAGATTTGATATGAAGATATTCCCGTTTCCAACGAAATCTTCAAATCTATCCAAATGTCCACTTGCAGATTCAACAAAAAGTGTTTTTCAGAACTGCTCTATCAAAAGAAAGATCCACGTGTGTTAGCTGAGTACACACATTACGAACAAGTTTATGAGAATGCTTCTGTCTAGTTTTTATTTGAAGATATTTCCTTTCTCACCATAGTCCTGAAAGCTGTCCTAATGTTCACTTCCAGGTACTACAGAAAGAGTGTTTCAAAACTGCTGTACGAAAGGGAATGTTCAACTCTGTGACTTGAATGCACACATCACAAAGAAGTTTCTGAGGATGCTGCTGTCTACTTTTTATACTTAATCCCGTTTCCAACGAAATCCTCCAAGCTATCCAAATATCCACTTGCAAATTCCACAGAAAGACTGTTTCAAAACTGCTCTGTCAATAGAAAGGTTCAACTCTGTTAGCTGCGTGCATATATCCCAAAGAAGATTCTGAGATTGCTTCTGTCTAGTTTTCATGAGAAGATATTTCCCTTTTCACCGTAGGCGTCAAGGCGCTCCAAATGTCCACTTCCAGATACTACAAAAAGAGTGTTTCAAACCTACTCTGTGAAAGGGAATATTCAACTCTGTGACTTGAATGCACATATCACAAAGAAGTTTCTGAGAATGCTTCTGTCGAGATTTTATATGAAGATATTCCCGTTTCCAACGAAATCCTGAAATCTATCCAAATATCCCCTCGCAGATTCTACAAAAAGAGTGTTGCAAAACTGCTCTGTAAAAGGAAAGGTTCAACCCTGTTAGTTGAGTACACACATCACAAACAAGTTTCACAGAATGCTTCTTTCTAGCTTGTAGGGAAAGATATTCCCTTTATCACCATGGGCCTCAAACCGTCCGAAACGTCCACTTCCATATACTACAAAAAGAGCGTTTCAAACCTGCTGTAGGAAAAGCAATGTTCAACTCTGTGACTTGAATGCAGACATCACAGAGCAGTTTCTGAGAATGCTTCTGTCTAGATTTTATAGGAAGATATTCCCGTTTCCAACGAAATCTTCGCAGCTATCCAAATATCCACTTGCAGATTCTACAAAAAGAGTGTATCAAAACTGCTCTGTCAAAAGGAAGGTTCTTCTCTGTTAGGTGAGTGCATACGTCATAAAGGAGTTTCTGACAATGTTTCTGTCTAGTGGTTATGGGAAGATATTTGCTTTTTCACCTTAGGCCTCAGAGCACTCCAAATATCCCCTTGCACATCCTACAAAAAGAGTGCTTCAAAGCTGCTCTCTGAAAGGGAATGTTCAACTCTATGAGTTGAATGCAAACATCACAAAGACGTTTCTGGGAATGCTTCTGTCTAGATTTGATATGAAGATATTCCCGTTTCCAAAGAAATCTTCAAATCTATCCAAATGTCCACTTGCAGATTCAACAAAAAGTGTTTTTCAGAACTGCTCTATCAAAAGAAAGATCCACCTCTGTTAGCTGTGTTAACACATCACAAACAAGTTTATGAGAATGCTTCTGTCTAGTTTTTATTTGAAGATATTTCCCTTCTCACCATAGACCTGAAAGCTGTCCTAATGTTCACTTCCAGATACTACAGAAAGAGTGTTTCAAAACTGCTGTACGAAAGGGAATGTTCAACTCTGTGACTTGAATGCACACATCACAAAGAAGTTTCTGAGGATGCTGCTGTCTACTTTTTATACGTAATCCCATTTCCAAAGAAATCCTCCAAGCTATCCAAATATCCACTTGCAGATTCCACAGAAAGACTGTTTCAAAACTGCTCTGTCAATAGAAAGGTTCAACTCTGTTAGTTGCGTGCATATATCCCAAAGAAGATTCTGAGATTGCTTCTGTCTAGTTTTTATGGGAAGCATATTTCCCTTTTCACCGTAGGTGTCAAGGCGCTCCAAATGTCCACTTCCAGATACTACAAAAAGAGTGTTTCAAACCTACTCTGTGAAAGGGAATATTCAACTCTGTGACTTGAATGCAGATATCACAAAGAAGTTTCTGAGAATGCTTCTGTCGAGATTTTACATGAAGATATTCCCGTTTCCAACGAAATCCTGAAATCTATCCAAATATCCCCTCGCAGATTCTACAAAAAGAGTGTTTCAAAACTGCTCTGTAAAAAGAAAGGTTCAACTCTGTTAGTTGAGTACACACATCACAAACAAGTTTCACAGAATGCTTCTTTCTAGCTTGTAGGGGAAGATATTCCCTTTATCACCATGGGCCTCAAACCGTCCGAAACGTCCACTTCCATATACTACAAAAAGAGCGTTTCAAACCTGCTCTAGGAAAGGCAATGTTCAACTCTGTGACTTGAATGCAGACATCACAGAGTAGTTTCTGAGAATGCTTCTGTCTAGATTTTATAGGAAGATATTCCCGTTTCCAACGAAATCTTCACAGCTATCCAAATATCCACTTGCAGATTCTACAAAAAGAGTGTATCAAAACTGCTCTGTCAAAAGGAAGGTTCTTCTCTGTTAGGTGAGTGCACACGTCATACAGGAGTTTCTGAGAATGTTTCTGTCTAGTGGTTATGGGAAGATATTTGCTTTTTCACCGTAGGCCTCAGAGCGCTCCAAATATCCACTTGCACATACTACAAAAAGAGTGTTTCAAAGCTGCTCTGTGAAAGGGAATGTTCAACTCTATGAGTTGAATGCAAACATCACAAAGACGTTTCTGAGAATGCTTCTGTCAAAATTTGATATGAAGATATTCCCGTTTCCAACGAAATCTTCAAATCTATCCAAATGTCCACTTGCAGATTCAACAAAAAGTGTTTTTCAGAACTGCTCTATCAAAAGAAAGATCCACCTCTGTTAGCAGAGTTCACACATCACAAACAAGTTTATGAGAATGCTTCTGTCTAGTTTTTATTTGAAGATATATCCTTTCTCACCATAGACCTGAAAGCTGTCCTAATGTTCACTTCCAGATACTACAGAAAGAGTGTTTCAAAACTGCTGTACGAAAGGGAATGTTCAACTCTGTGACTTGAATGCACACATCACAAAGAAGTTTCTGAGGATGCTGCTGTCTACTTTTTATATGTAATCCCGTTTCCAACGAAATCCTCCAAGCTATCCAAATATCCACTTGCAGATTCCACAGAAAGACTGTTTCAAAACTGCTCTGTCAATAGAACGGTTCAACTCTGTTAGCTGCGTGCATATATCCCAAAGAAGATTCTGAGATTGCTTCTGTCTAGTTTTTATGGGAAGATATTTCCCTTTTCACCTTAGGCGTCAAGGCGCTCCAAATATCCACTTCCAGATACTACAAAAAGAGTGTTTCAAACCTACTCTGTGAAAGGGAATATTCAAACCTGTGACTTGAATGCACATATCACAAAGAAGTTTCTGAGAATGCTTCTGTCGAGATTTTATATGAAGATATTCCCGTTTCCAACGAAATCCTGAAATCTATCCAAATATCCCCTCGCAGATTCTACAAAAAGAGTGTTTCAAAACTGCTCTGTAAAAAGAAAGGTTCAACTCTGTTAGTTGAGTACACACATCAAAAACAAGTTTCACAGAATGCTTCTTTCTAGCTTGTAGGGGAAGATATTCCCTTTATCACCATGGGCCTCAAACCGTCCGAAACGTCCACTTCCATATACTACAAAAAGAGCGTTTCAAACCTGCTCTATGAAAGGCAATGTTCAACTCTGTGACTTGAATACAGACATCGCAGAGCAGTTCCCTGAGAATGCTTCTGTCTAGATTTTATAAGAAGATATTCCCGTTTCCAACGAAATCTTCACAGCTATCCAAATATCCACTTGCAGATTCTACAAAAAGAGTGTATCAAAACTGCTCAGTCAAAAGGAAGGTTCTTCTCTGTTAGGTGAGTGCATACGTCATAAAGGAGTTTCTGAGAATGTTTCTGTCTAGTGGTTATGGGAAGATATTTGCTTTTTCACCGTAGGCCTCAGAGCGCTCCAAATATCCACTTGCACATACTACAAAAAGAGTGTTTCAAAGCTGCTCTCTGAAAGGGAATGTTCAACTCTATGAGTTGAATGCAAACATCACAAAGACGTTTCTGAGAATGCTTCTCTGTCTAGATTTG